>NC_000004.12:129830471-130133502 GCF_000001405.40 Homo sapiens
TTTAAACAAGTGGGTTGCTTTTTTGATTATGAGTAACTTTGACAGATGAACTGTTGTATATTATATGTACTATTTTACAATATGAAATACATTGCATTCATACAGATTGTTATACCATGTATAATATAAAGTTCCACACCCAAAGTGTAGATAGATGTCCCTGTTTTTAAGTATTGTGAACCTGTGATCTTCTTTGGAAATGTTCACTTCCCTACAAATAATTATACATTTTGTTGAAAGAAGTTTAGTGTCAATACATATATACATCTAAATCTATACATTTAAAGGCTTTTTTCTAGGATCTCTAGGTTAAGTTTCTTGCAAATGCTGAGAAGGGAGTAGAAATAATTTTCTACTGGGTTGTCTGGAATTTTGAAGTTATGATTGTTTTTTCCATTTGTAAGCTCTCCAAACCTTTTTGAGAACTAAGTCAGCTCCAGGAGCTTAGTCTCCTACCTGTCAAGATGTAATTATTTCAACTTCTTTATATCCTTTTAAAAACAGAGTAGACTACTCTCCACTCTCTTCTCTGGGGATCCATTCCTTTGATGATTGGCTATAGAGTGGGAGGGCACAAATTTCCCAAAGCAAAAACTCTTTACTTACTACCTTGTAAAATAATTGCATAGACATTTTTTACTTAAATAATATTTACTTTTTTTGTACTATGGGGGAGTCCAAATCAGAAACATAAGCTAGACAAAAGGAGAAACAGTTATTGACCTCAGGTGTATAGTTATTACATCCCTTGTGCAATAAATAGTAGTATTATTGGTTTTAATATATGAGGTTTCACTCATTTAGGAGTCACTCAGATGCTCATGACATATAGTAATTTTTACATCTTGAGACAAAAATTTTTTGCTGGAAGTTTGCAAGTCTTATAAACAGAAAACCCAACTAAGATAAGCTGTGACTTCTCCAATTCCAAATCTTCTTTCCGGAATCTTTGATATATGCCAGTTTTTGTCTTTTCGCCTATCTAGACATGAAAAAAATCACGAAACATGCCTTAGAAAAGCATTATTGCATGGTAGATGATAGCACAGCTTCTGAAGACATTACCTGCACTCACGTACTAGCTTTTTGCTTCCTTTAAAAACATTTGTATATCGATTTATGTAAATCATTTCAGCCATTTATCTTGTTGCCTTCCTCAAGATGGTTCCATGCTTGGGCTGCATAAAGCAACTCTAGACATTTCTGGTGTGGTTTATAGCAGTTCTTACAGTCACATACTCATCAAAAGCCAGAGAAAAGGTCTTACATTCCCAGCTAAACCTAAGAGATTGTTAACATCTCTCAGAATTGGGTCGTATCCTCAATGCTGAATCCAAATGTATGTGGTCAAAAGGTTTGATATGCAGATTGATGTACACAATCATAGCCCTTACTTGGAAATTGGAGTTGAGGTAAATCATTCAAAACACACACTGGGGGGGGGGAAACTAAGAAAAATTTGAGGTCCTAGTATATGGAAGAAAAAGATTTGCTGCAGAGCGGCAAATAGAAGTTCCCATCAAGATCAAAGAGCCTTTCAGATTGTGAATGTGCCCAGTGGACAGCCAGTATCCACACTCAACCCAGCTCTACATCCTCTGCTTCTCTCCAAGTATGCACCACTTCTTGCTAAGTGAAAAAAACCTTTTCCTGGTAGAATATGATCCTGAAACAAGAGATAAATACCTGTGCTAGGTAGGATGTAAAGAGAAAGCAACAAGGACCAGGAAAGTAAAGGAGTTAACACATTTAGGGAGAAAGGTTTCAGAATTTTCTGTTATGAAGATCAAGGGTTGACTCCATTACCTTCTTTTCTTTCTGTAGGTGGTAGATTCGACTTTCCAAGTAGCTCAAGCCTACTTTTCCCCTAGAGGGCATCTGTCTTTTCAAAAATATTTGAACAGGGTCAGTTCTTCGGTAGAACTTTGTCCAAACAGAATGCTTATACCAATCATTTAATTCAGTGCTTGCTGATTTTATTTTATTTTATTTTTAGGTGACATTAAAAAAGGTCTCAAATGTGTTTAGCTCTATCTAACCCCTAGGTTAGGTGCTATCCAACCTTTGTACAACAGCTTTTTAATTTACTACTTGATAATCCATCTCTCCAAATCACCCTTCAGAATGCTACCAAAATAATCATTACAAAAATCTCAAAAGTGTCCAATAAAATAAAATGTTTTTTATATGGTAAGCAAGATCTCTTTATCCTATTCCTCCAGGTTCCTTTTTAATGTATCTTGCATCATAAGTTTTATCAACACTTAGTTACTATAATCTCAACCTGACTTGCACTTTCATGCCTCCACAAATATAATAATGTAATTTCCCTAGTTTGAAATGTTCCTTTTCTTCTGTCACTTCCTTCTGTCCATAACTAGTGAACTAATGATCAACTACTTGAGATGATTTTTTTGAATCCCCTAGTCAGAACTCAACTTTCGGGGAGTTCACTTTGTACTTCTGTTATAGATAGATGTCTGGTGTTACAGATGGCATTAAAGTAGTGCTACAGTCAGCCTCTCTACTCCCCATCTGACTGTAAACTAGATAACTGAAGAGTGGGGTGATTGGAAGCACAGGTTTGGGAATCACAATTACGTTCACACTGTAACTTTTCCACAGTTGTATTACATAAGGTAAGTTAACGTAAACCTTCAGTTTTCCCATCAGTTCAGTGCCATGGTACAAGGACTTCTGGGCTGGCTTATGTGATTTTCAATCACCATCTTTTACATCTTCCCTACTATATCTAAAGAACAAGAATTTAGCACCATGCAAACACTATAAGCCAATTTTTCCTTTGGAGGAGGAGACACAGTGGCCAAAAGAAGAGAAAGAGTTAATCTTCTAAATGAATATTATTAGCAGTGGAGGTGATGTTAAAGACTTCTTTATCAGCAGTTGGCTGTGATGCACACCTTGTTGTCTGGTTTGGCTTGTTCTTAAGTGGGGATGTTTGTTGGGTGACCATATAATTTATCATTGAAACCCAGACACATGTGAAAGTGATGCTATTAATAATTACCCTGGTACAAAAGGACTAAACAACAGTGGCACAGACAAACCTTCCCTGCATATCCTAGGAGGTTAAGTTGAATTTTTCATCTGAAAATGATGATGAATCCTATAGCAGGCCACTCCCTGATTAGAAACCCAGCCTCTACTAGTACTCCTTCTAATGCTTATATTGTCTCTGGAGCAAGACAGCTTTTCATTGGCTTTCTTCACTCAAGGCTCTCCCATCAGAATGGAGGGATTGAAGGAGGAATAAATTCTCAACAATTGGTGAATATGAAGTCTAATTTCTCTTCACTTGATTTAGAAATACACATTTAGTAATAGATCTCTTTACCTGATTTAGAAATACACATTTAGTAATAGAAATGAAAACTTTTTATTATCCAAGATCGTACTGAGCTGAATAGATATCTCTAGTTTGTTGTCCCTTTTAGTATTTACTATCCCCAAACCTGTCACTATCACTGTTGTTTTTCTTTTAATGGGGTGTAAAAAAGAATTTATAGGGAAATTCTTTATGTATAGGCTTGTACTTATATTATTTTCCAATATCTAAGGCTAGAGTGTCCAAAGCAGGATTTAAATATTCCTTAAAAATGGAGATAATAATTCACATTCAAAAGAAAAAAGATTAAGATATATATTTCAATTGACATGCTATTGAAGATTAGACCATGTAAATGTGTGGTTGATTAATGATTTTTATTTATTTTTCAGCAAAGGTGCTGCTGGTTACTCTTGGTTCATCTAGCAATAGATGATCTGAATGTTAGAGTTCGCCAAATATTGTTCCTGGGCAGTCTTTGCTCTACCAAATCAACTTTCTCCATGGGTAATATCCTCCAGTTCCATGGCTTAAATATTATCTATAAACTAAAACTCCCAAATGTTCATGTCTAGTCCCCACCTCAAAAAACTAAATACTTTCTTGCTATCTCCACATGGATATACAGTATACATTTTTCTAACTTAATATGTTCCAAACTAGCTCTTCTTTACCTGACACCTCACAGCCCTTTGCTTATTATACTGTTCAAATCTCATGTATTAGTCTGTTTTCACATTGCTGATAAAGACATACCAAAGACTGGACAATTTACAAAATAAAGAAGTTTAATAGACTCATAGTTCCACGTGACTGGGGAGGCCTCAAAATCATGGCAGAAGGTGAAAGGCATGTCTCACATGGCAGCAGACAAGAGAAGAGAGCTTGTGCAGGGTAACTCTCCTTATAAAACCATCAGATCTCATGGGACTTATTCACTATCACGAGAATAGCACAGAGAAAGACCCGCCCCCATGATTCAATTACCTCCCACCAAGTCCCTTCCGCAACACATGGGAATTGTGGGAGCTATAATTCAAGATGAGATATGAATGGGGACACAGCCATCCCATTAAAGTTTTCTACCATCCCTCCAGTAGCTTATGCCAAAAACCTAGGAATAAATCTTAGTTTTGCCCCCTTTCTTTATCTATTTATGCCCTTTAAAAGTATCCATTTACTTACTAAAATAAGCCTAAACTATTCACTTGTCTTCATATGCATCACCATCATATGATCTTATTACCCAGAGCACTGTCTTCTAAGCCCTGCCTCCCAACTCATAGAATCTATTCTTCTTAATGATTCTTTATTTTAGAGAAACAGATGATGTTTCACTGCTACTTTAAATGCTCCTTGAACTTCATTTCATTTACTACAAGGCTTGAATGATCCTGTCCCTCCTACGTCTCTGACCCCATCTTATGCACTTACTCAATATACTCAAGGCACATTGTCTCCCCTTGCTTCCGTTAACATTTTGAGCTCTTCCTGCTTCCTGGCTTTGCTCCCACTATTGCTGTTGGTTAGAATATTTCCTCTTCTCTTTTTAGGACTTGCTGCTTCTTACCTTTTAAGTCTGAGATCTGGGGTTACCTCATGATGGAAGTCATCCCTGACTACAGTTGTTCTATTATATTTTAGTATCTGGGGATTTTTGTTATAATCTGTCTACCACCATAAGAATGTGATCCTAAATGGACTACCATGTATCTCTATTCATTAATATGTTCCTAACACATAGCCCAGTGCCTGGCTCATAGAAGAAGCCAAATACATATTTTAAATACTCAATGAATATCTTTGATTCATTAAACTAAGTTAAAAAATAAAATAACATTTAATAATTTAACAAAAATTATTGCTTCCTGTCCATAGACTACATGAATGCATTTATTTGGGTAGTGCAGCAAAAGCAAACCCATCTGCACTCTCCCCTCTTAGTATTAGAACAAGCTACCAAACCCTAATAACATGACCTTATATTTTCTATAATTTGTGAAAGGGCCAAGTGGTAGCATAAGCATTTCTTGTGATTTGAAAAAAAAAAAAGAGAAACCAAATGTAAATGAACAAGGTATTAAATTTTAAACCAGTATATGTAGTGTGCAAACTTTAAAAAGTAGTATAGTTTGAATAAACATATCACTAGATGAGCAGATAGATAGCAAAGCAATATTCCCTGAACAATTAAAGAAAGGGATTCAGGATAAGACTTACTTGCCTAAGCAGGTTTTTAATGGAGATAAATTTGGTTTGTTTTAGAAGCAGATGTTTTTTGGAAGACTTATTTATTATAGTTAAAAACATTATTTAAATCTATTTTTACCACTTTTTCCACAGAACCCTATTTTCAGTGTCACTAATTTTATAAACAACAAATTCTGTCAATCATATTACTTTTTCTAAGTTATATAAATCTCATAGTTGGAGAAATTGTGCATGTATTTATGTATCTTTGTAACAGGAGTGTTCTACTTCATGATTTAAGGTATACATAAATAGTCCTGATCAGCTTACAGAATATAACCATCAAACTATTCATCCAAGGTAAAAGCTGATTTGGTCTAAGAGTCTATCCTGTGCTTCACATTGGCTCTTTCCACTTTCCATTTAGAAATCTAAGAATTTCCTCTCTTACTGAGACAACCTGTCTTCAGCTCAAAGCATCTATTCTTGCCTGAGTCTATCTCCATTGATTGCCTATAGCAATGTCAGGCTGGCTGCTGTTTTAAATTGAGCATTTCATGTATAAAGCATACCAGCTGAGGAGGCATGTTTGCTAAAGTAGAAGTCACAGGTTCAGGGGTGACATATTGTACAAGTGGTCATAAGCCTTGGAAGGTAAGTAGACTCTTTTTCCATATTAGACTCAATAAAGGGGACTTTGGCCATGGCCAGGGATATTTAGGCTAAAATAATTTCGATTTTCTGGTTCAGTTACCTCCTGAGGTATTAGGCCCCTCTAGGATGACTAACAAAGAACCTGAGCTAGAGTCAGTATAAGCTTGTGGAGATTCAGGTTTCAGTAGAACACTGATATCAGCCACATGCTGTTTCTGAAGTGGGTTGAATCAAGGGTTTAGTGGTAGTTGAGTATCTCCAGCTGAGTGACTATTTGACAAATAAGTGAATTTGGGCTCAAGGGGTGATTTATCTGAAAATCAGATTTGTCTCTTAAGACATGAAATACTTTTAATAGAGTGTAATACAGTAACTTGAATACATCGTGTGCCTAGTTGGGGCCTAGAATCTCTAATTTGATAGGCTTTAGACCCAAAGGTTGCACAACATGCTTAGTGATCAGTTGTATAAGTTTACAACTTTAGTCAGTTCCCAGAATGCAAGTTAACCCCAAGCAAGATGGGTCACATAAACATATATTTCTCTTCCTTTTGACTCAGTTCTAGAATGAGCTAAATGGTTCTCTTTGTTTTTGCTCTTCCTTGATCTGGGCCTTAATATATGGCCAGTCTATTACATGGCAAATGATCTCTCCATTGCTGCATTTCAGAAAGAAGGGTTGGATACATCTCCGTTTCTTTTCTTCTAGGGGAGCTAGAAGTCACCCCACATTCTCCGCCATGGCCAGCTCTACATTCTAAGAGGTAAAAATAACTTTGGCAAATCCACTACAAACAAACAGCCAAACTAAAGATTATACTAAATTCTTCTTCCAGGAAAATAGGCCTGCCCACCTATATTTGACAAACTAACTGGGCGTCTAACAAGATTCTTTATAGGACAAAGATCAGTTTCTACCAATTAAAACACAGTGTCATGCGTGATAAAACATAACAACTTTAAATGTTTATGGGCCTAATAAAAAAGCTTCAAAATACACAAATTAGAATAAAATGTAGATAATCGTGCAAAAATAGTAAATCACTTTACCAATGCTATTACAGCACTCAGAGAACAACCCAAGACAGCATAGTATTGGTATAAAGACTGACAAACAGATCAATGAAACAGGATAGGGACTTTAGGAAAAGACTCACTGTATAGGACAAATTGATTTTTGACAAAGATGTCAAGAAAAGTCAATGGTTAAATAAAACTCTTTCCAGGCAATAGTGCTAAAACAACTGGGCACAGTGGGGAGAGATTAGGAGAAGCAGTAGATAAACGTTAATGCTCACCTCACATCATACACAAGGAAATAACTTAAAGGGAATACAGACCTAAACATAAAAGCTAAACTATAAAAATTCTAGAATAAAATGTGGAAGAAAATCTTTGTCCTTGGAGTAGGCCATGATTTATTTAATAAGGAGCAGAAAACATGAACAATAAAAGGCAACAGACACATTGGACTTCATCAAAATTTACATCTTTTGTTCTTTGAATAATAATATAGCGAAAACTAAAAGGAAAGCCATCTACTGAGAGAAAATAATCTTAAAACATACAGCTGACAAAGGATTTGTTTCTAGAATACTTAAAAGAATTCTTTTTAAAAAGAACTTTAAAGTTCAGGGGTACATGTGCAGGTTTGTTACATAAGTAAACATGTGTCATGGGGGTTTGTTGTAGGGATTATTTCATCACCCAGTTATTAAGCCTAGTACCCTCTAGTTATTTTTCCCGATCCTCTCCCTTTTCCCAGCCTTCATCCTCTGAAAGGCCCCAGTGTTTGTTGTTTCTCTCTTTGTTTCCATGTGCTCTTATCATTTAGCTCCCATTTATAGGAGAACATGTAGTATTTGGTTTTCTGTTCCTGTGTTAGTTTGCTAAGGATAATGGTCTTGAGCTCCATCCAGCTTCCTGCAAAGGACATGATTTCATTCTTTTTTATGGCTGTATAGTATTCCATGGTGTATATATTCCACATTTTCTTTATCCAGTCTATCACTGATTGACATTTAGGTTGATTCCATGTCTTTGCCATTGTGAACAGCTCTTCAATGAACATATGCATGCAGGTATCCTTATGGTAGAATGATTTATATTCCTTTGGATATATACCCAGTAATGGGATTGCTGGGTCAAATTGTATTTCTGTCTCAACAACAGGAAAACAAGTCCATAGAATGACTTGAATTTTTGAGTGGACACTTCAAATGAGAAGATATACTAATACTCAACAAGCACATGAAAGAAGCTCAACATCTTTATTCATCAGAAAAAGTGCAAATTAAACTTACAAGAAGAAACTACTCTACACACATTATAATGGTCAAACTTAAAAAGGTTGAAAAAATTCAAGTCCTGTGAAGATGTAGAGCAACCAGAATGCTCATACACTGTTGCTGGTGGAAAAAAACAAAAACAAAAGCGAAAAAAAAAAAACTATAGAAAACTGGCGTTTCTTTAAATGGTGAAATAGACATTTACTAGAGAAATGAGCTATCAAATTCTTAGATCTTTATCCAAGACAAATGGACATGTGTCTATAAAAAGACTCATATACAGATGATGACAGCAGTTTTACTAATAATAGCCAAAAAGTATGAATAACTCGATGGTCCATCAACAGGTGAAACACAAGTGGCATAAGTAAACACTGAAATACCACTCTGCAATAAGCAGGATCAAGATACTGCCAATGGCAACAACAGAGATAAATCTAAAATTCACTATGCTGAGTGAGAGAAGCAAACACAAAGGAGTACATACCATATGCTTCCATATATACACAAGCAAAGGGAATACAAGGATATTTAGAAAGACAAAAAGTTGATGTTGATCTGTTGTTGACTTTGGATATGGACAGAAGGAAGAATGGACCACGAAAAGACATGATCTATCTTTGGAAATGATGAAATTGTTTTGTATCTTGATTGTACAGGTGGTTTCACAGGTGTATCTACCAAAATGTATTGAGTTGTACACTTTAAATGGGTGCAGATGATTGCACAAAAGTCATCTCAGTAACATTTATTTAAAGATAGCAGAGTTGGAATTTCAATTCTTAATTGTCTGGATTCAAAGCCACTTTATTAGCCAGTATTTAACTTTTCTCTCAGTATGCATATGCAGCTTCATGATTCAAGCTCAGAGTTTTGCTGATGTGGCAGAACCATACTGGATATACTTATTCTTTCTGTCTCCGTGAAAGAGCTACCTCTGCAGTCTCCAGCGAGTCATCTGTGTGCTATGAAATGCTAGAACTGCTACTTCATGAGAATACGTGATTGGCATTATTCCAGGCTGCTTAATCTATTTTTGTTTTCATCATTGTGCACATACCAATAAGCAATTCAGGTTTCTACAATGGAATGAGAAAGGAGCTAAACTAATTTTAGTGGATATTGTCATTTTTCCCCTTTGTTTTCTATCCTTGTCACCCTTGGGCAGTTATATCTTATGCTCATAGGGTCTTCCCATGCTACTTCTTCTTTATTTTATAAAGCATGATTTTATATAGTATAATCCTATAATATAGTCTGATTAAATATAATTAGTTTATATCTTGTCAGAGAGAATAGGTCCTTAAACTTGTAGGAAGTTAATTATGTGATTGTTGGTTGTATATATATTTTTAGACTTTCCCTTTAAAGTAAAATGTGGTGGTCAATTTTCTTTCAAGTGTCCATTTGTTTTAGGGTTTTAAACATGCAAAAGGTCATAATTTGATTTTTGTAGTTTGAGCGAGGTTTTAATTATGAAGCTCTTCTTTCTTCCCTTTTACAGAAAAATGAATTAATAGGATTTTTCATGTGGCTGAAGAAGACAGAGACTGCAAACCAGGTGGTGACAATTGCCCTGGCAACACCACATTTGTATTTATTCACTTACTAAATTTTCCACCAGATATTTTTCAATGTAGCTCATTAAAAACATTTCTGTTTTCCTTTCTCGATTTTATCTGTATCACATCTACATGTGTTTAAAATTAACTCTGTTTTTCCACAGAGGACTACATTGCTCTTTTTGTTGACTATTAAAATTTGTTTTGAGAGTTTCAAACTAACTGTTATCCTTGCAACTTGTTTAAACAGTATATCTGGAAAGGAGTGTTTTTTGTTTTTTGTTTTTATTTTTTTCCGATTACCTGATTTCATAAGAGAACTTACTTAAAGTTAAAATTCTGGAAAAAATAATTTCCAAATCTTGGTTTTCCAAATTCTTTTTTCCTCATTGCTTGGTTTTCATTTTTAGAATCAATTTCCACAGCTTCAGTTCTAATTTTGACTTCATTTTTTACTTGACTTTATCTGTTTTCTCCTTAACCATAGTTTGTCTCCAGCCTAGCACCCATCCTGAGCTGGGAGACATCCTAGTGCAGTAAAAAGGACAAGGACTTTGGACTCACAAAGAAGTGAGAATAAGCCTAATTTCACTACTGCTTAGTTGTGAACATAGGTGATTATGCTGAGGCTTATGCATCACATAGGACTAATAATAGTTAAATTACACTGTGGTTTTGAGTCTAAGGAGAGTGACTAGACAGTAAGTACTAGTTCCCTGTGCTTAATGCTGTACTTTTCCCAACTATCCCAACCCTGACCCCCATCTCTGGCATTTTCAATCATCCACTGTCAGTTATTTCAAAGGTCACCCTTCCTGATTTGGGGCTGACTTATAGCTATATAAAATGTTCTTAGTTCTTACAATAACTTGCTATTCTGCATTTACCTGTGCTAATTATTTTATTAACCACAAGGTGAGGTTGACCTTTGTGAGGCTCACAGTTCTGATCTTATCTTTTTGTTATTTTCTTTTTTTTCAGATGTAGCAATAAAACATTTCATTCTGAACTTCCAACATTTAATGTTCCAGAGTTATTATTCACAATCTATTTGTTCAAATAATAGAAAATGAAGTTAGAAATTGAGATAAGATTGATAATATTGATTGAGCAAATCTTCAAAAAACATCACCTATATTTTATAAATTGTATTAGTTCCTGAATTGCTAATATTTAAAGTTTCATAACTGTCCTTATTATACTAGAAAGTATAATATTGGCCAAAAATATGATAAAAGAACCTGAAAATAAATGCTTTATTGAGCTTTATGGGGTAGTATCTCTATGAGTTATAATAAGTACTTGATTTAATATGTGTTATTATCGTTAAATGTATTCTGTTAATTTGCACTCTAGTTCCTACTTTCATTGTAAATGTTTAACTGGCAAATAAGATTTTGGATACAGATTCAGAGTAAAAATATTGAAACACTTATTTAAACATCCACCCTCACCCGTGACATGGTATTATTCCTCAACTCATTCCTGTAGCCACTACCTTAAAAGAACACTAGCAGCTAAAATTTAGGGACTACATGAGCTACTAAATTTGTGGCCTGATTTTCATTAAAAACAGCCAAGATTATTCAAAGTAATATTTTTTCAAATAATAATTATGAGGAAGCATAGTGTATTTTACGAATGCCAGTTCATCTCATAGGGATAGGGTTACTTGCCTATTTCGTTTGGGGATAAAAGAAAACATAAAAAGGAAAGGAGCCCAGATGAATACTTTTTCTGCAATTAGTGGTGATGCATGTAGTGAACTGCTAAGCATCCATGACTAATCGAGATAGACAGGGCTATCCCTTGCTAATCACAGAAGATATTGGCCTGTCCGTAGGAGAAAAGAGTGATTATATCAAAAAGAACAGTCAGCCATTACTAGGGCAAACTCTGTCAAGAGTGTCTGTGAATTATAAGACAAAAGGATAGAGAAATAAAGGCAGTGTTAATTATCTTTAAATGAGAAGGTATGTTTATGTGTTCATGTATCTCATGGAAAGAAGCATTGCTTTGTTTTCTTTTAGAAGAGGTATTTTTATTTATTTATTTATTTTTTATTATACTTAAAGTTTTAGGGTACATGTGCACGTCGTGCAGGTTAGTTACATATGTATACATGTGCCATGTTGGTGTGCTGCACCCAGTAACTCGTCATTTAGCATTAGGTATATCTCCTAATGCTATCCCTCCCCCCTCCCCCCACCCCACAACAGGCCCCAGTGTGTGATGTTCCCCTTCCTGTGTCCAAGTGTTCTCATTGTTCAATTCCCACCTATGAGTGAGAGCATGAGGCGTTTGGTTTTTTGTCCTTGTGAGGTATTTTTTTTTAAAGGAACTCACTACTTGGTTAAGTCATGGAATTCATTGCTGTAAAACTTAGTGGAGTAATTGTTTCTTACAATATTGTAGAACACATACAACTTTATAATTATTTATTTTATATTACCTAAATGATCTTTAAATATTAATTGCAGCCCAGTAGCCAGCAAGTGCAGAACAACAGATGATGCGAATGAAGCAAGTGGGCTGACTTTTTGTGTTATGGCAATGCAGTTCTGCTCATTTTCAGCTTGCCATTATTTATGTAAACATACAAGTAAGTCTTCATTTATAATTTATAAATGATGCTTCTCTGCCAAACACAAGTTTAACTTCAAGTTTTGTTGTTATTGCTGAGTCTTCTGCTTGGATACCATCTTTGGGTTCAGCAAACACCTTTGTCAGGGAATGAGAAGTTGGAAACTAACTTTTATATAAGTCGCCAATCCCCTCTTCCTCTCCTTTTTTGGAGCCTTTGGAAATTTCTCTTTTCAAGATGACTGCATAGATCTAACTATCCAAAGAGCAATAAAACATTCATAAAAGCTCAGTTGTTCATAAATAACTTTTCAAATTTCAGATCCCTAATACGTTGAGTATTCTCTATGACTGGCATAGCAGACGGTTCAGTGGATTGAGGGCTGTGAAAGAGATGTTCAGTGAGTGGCAAAGGTTTGGTCAGAGATTTCCCATTGACTTGTTTTTTCCCACCAGCCCTCAGAAAACCACAAACTATGAGAAGATCACAGAGGAGGAAGGGGTTGAGGATACTAAGGGAGTATGGCTCAAGAGAACAATCATCCAAGATGCATAACGAAGAGAAACCAAAATGACAGTTTTTCAGAGTGAGATTTTTTTCTGTGGTCCAAGAAGAAATTGGGTTCATGTTTAGTTAGAGTGAGACATGTGAATCTTGGGGAATGTGAGGCTGTCAAGAGTAAAGTCTCAGTTTTCCCAGCTAAGATATCTGTAGAGGATGTTAGAGCTGGTTTGAATCTTAAAGAGGAATGGTTTTTGAGAGGAAGAGTAATTTGTGGTTTACACATCACACTGCGAAGCCAGGATTTCACCTCCAGGACTGCAGAAAAGTTAGCTAATGGGTCCATTAGCTGAGTTGGCCAGGGACAGAACGATAATTCTACCACTATATGGAACACACTCTTCTGCCAGAAGGATGTCTCAGGTCTTGTACTTCAAGTGACTTGTCAGAAATCTTCTCTGGATTTAGTTGTAGGCTGTGATGCACATCTAATAAGACTGTGATATTTTCTGACTTGAAATAGGTAAGAATAGTATGCAATGATTCCAATAAAAATATTTTAAGCACAGGGCAAATTGTCAAGATCAACTACATATAAGGCTTCTTATTTCATTGCTTATAAATTCTGCCAACATCAAGCCTGAAAAACGAATCATATTCTCTTACACTGGATCCCTACACTTTTATAATTCCAGCAATATTCTCTTTTACTGTTTCTTATAATTGAAAATGTCTTTGAATATATTATTGGAAGAAACTGGGCAAAACTGTATAAAATGACTACAAAAATAATTACACAGTATAGGGTATTCCCAGATTTAGTTTATTTGCTTCTCTACCAACTTAGTCCCGTTTTGACACTAAGCACAGTCTTGGTCTACCACTCCTGCCTCCTAAGTATGTCTCAAATGCTTCTATTTCTCCTTGTTCCCATTACCACCACTTTTGCTCAGGACACCATCATCCCTTTTCTGGAATGTTGCAATAGCTACTTTCCTAACTGGTCTCCCTGCTATCTGTCTTATCCACATGTCTAGTTTTCCCCACACTGTAGCTGATGTCACTTTTCTAATGCACAAATGTAGCATTTCTGTTTAACATATTTTCATTCTACCTTATTTTGCTTAGTAGAAATGTCCAGAACCTTTCTTGATCTCTCTCTCTCTTGCTCACTCACTGACTCTTATTCTCACCCTCTGGTCTTCTGTATTTTATCACTAGTGTCTTTGTCTCTAGGGCTTTGATTAGAAAACTCTTCTGCCCCTCATCTCTATCCCATTCCCTGCCAGCTGGCAGATTCCTGATTCCTCCTTCTAGTCTCCCTTTGGATGTCACTCCCATAAGAAGAATTGTTCTCTTTAGACTAACACAGACATTCCTCCCTTGTGCCCCCAAGCACCCTGTGCTTATTTTTTTCTTATTTAAAAATGTGCAAAAGGTCTTGCCATCACCTGCTTCTTTCAACAAAGTATAAGCTCCTTAAGGACAATGTCCATAATTGTACCTCTAGTGTTTAGTCCAATACTTGGCACAAAGTAAGCAATCAGTATTTACTCGATAAGTTGAAAGTGATTGACATCACTCCACAGCAATCTTTCTCAGTTCTCTTGGATAAAAAGGACATGGCAACATCAATTTTAGACGGTTTTCTAGACATAAAATTTGGTCTTTTCCTGAAATAACCAGAAGGTTGTCTGATATATTAAGCTGATTACTGTGTCTCCCTCAATCAGAAATTCTCCTGATCTGGCTCTTTGGAGACATTCTGCCTATCTTAAATGTCTACAGTGTGTTTCTCATTCACTCAGAAATTTTCCTGAACCAGCTCCCCAGAGATATTCAGCCTGTCTTTAAGCCATCTTTCTCTTGCTTTTAATTCCCCTTATCCTTGGCTTTCACCTTCTGACTCATCACACTTTCCTCTTGCTCACACACCCACATCCACATGGATCGAAACCTTTTCTCTGAATACTGTTTTGTTTTCTGGTCAAAATTGGGGTCATCAAACATTTCACATAAAACCCCCCTATTTAACAAATGGACAAACAAATATAAAGCAAAATTATTGATGCAAATGCGTGTATATTTTGGGAAACACATATGTAACCTCAGGGTTAGCAGCTATAGAAGGGATTGTGAGTGATTAGGGAGTAGGCATTGCAGGCAGAGATAGCCCAAAGTCTGTAGCTGCCATTCAAGGTTACTTTAAAATTTAACGGGTATCTCAAATCATCAATGTATTTTTATCAAAGATAAATCAAATTCAAAGTAAATAATTGTAGAATTTCAAATATCTTTGGATTTTATTTGTATTTTAATTACTGATTTAGCAAGTCGTTGAAAGTGAAATTATGTAGACTCTGTACCAATGCCGTTACAAGTGAGACAAGTAAGAAGTAAGGTTGTAAGTTTATACAGGTAGATTTTCTTCCTTTGTAGCATTGGTATCTTCTTTAGTTCCCCCTGGACAGCCCTTGGGTAAGTGACATTTTAAGAAGTCACCAGAAGACAGCATCTGATTACTTTAGGGTTAATCATTAACAACATAGTTGTACTAGTGACATTGCTTATAGTGTTCAATTAAATGCCAATTTAATGACACTCCACATTTAAACAGCAGTGCTGAGCCTTTATGTAGTTCCAGCCCAGAGGATTGACCAGCTGTCCACTCTTGCTGACCCTCCACATGCCGTTCCTTCTATTTTTCAAGGATACAGGTAATTGCTAGTCCTGAAGGAGACTTAAACAAGCTATTGTTTGGCTGTATCCATGATGCCTTTCTTAATAGGAAATGAATTGGCACTCTTCATAGCACCAAGTTCCCGATAGAAAACTGGGCTTGGATATTAATGCAGTAGGAATTGTGTTTCATGAAGCCTTGGCTGAATATTACACTCTACATTTGCAGCTTTTTATTATACCTTGCATTTTGAGAGGAATGATGGCTGCATTACCACTGACTAAGCAGCTGCAGGGTTATCTCTTTCACACAACCAATCCACTTGGGCTTTTGGAAATAGGGTTTTCATACCTGAAAAGTATTCCCTTTCCAAAAGTGAGAGCATACAAACTCACCAAGCACTAATACTCAGCTATGATGAGACTGCCGGCCCCTGATAATTTGCATCTAAAGAAACCAATTTGAACTAAAATGCTGCTACTGAAATGTGTTTTTCTAATAGACTTCTATAAATATATGAGGTTTTGTGCATTCACATATCCTCAGGTGAATGAAAATAAAGTTAAGGTCTATTTCACCTAGTTGATGCACTAGCTACTTATTTAGATACATTCTAGATGAGAATGTATCTTGAAGATATCAATTGTATCCCCCTTCTTACTTTTAAAAAATATAGTAGACAAGAGCTTACTACATTATTTTTCTTCACGATAAAGGTATTCAAGAGATAGTTTCCATCTCAGATAACCCCACAGTCTAATGGTAAAGACAGGCATAAACAGAAAAATACAATGCAGTGTAGAGGTGAATATGATGTTGGTGGTATTGCACCGGGAAATACAGGGAGATAAAGGAGAGAGACCTGGTCAATACAATAGAAGAAAAATTAACAAAGAAGCCATATACAGAGAAAATGGGTTGAATCATCAATATGAGATGATTTCAGCACTTGGTTCATGTAACTATATTATCAACTTCTAGAATATAAGTTTTTTAAATATGCCATGTATCACCTACCAGGGAAGTCTGTGCTGGTATGTGATATCTGGTGATGAAAATAGTATCAACCTGAGTAAACTGAGAATTAAGTATCTCATTTAAACTCCTTAATAGGGCACACAGCAACATCTGGCATGTGGCAATTGTAAACATTCTCTATCATTAATTATTAATGGAAGATAATCAAATAATTATTTTTTAAGAATGTTTATATTTTAATTAAAATCAGTAATATATATACAGAGACCGAAACAAAGAGACAGAAAGAAAGAAATATTGAGGAAGAGAATCACACACTGTTTATCAGACATTAATACTACAGGAGACCTCTTGAATTCTGCTTTATAGCAAGCCACATTGAGAAATTCTATTTTAACTAAATTATAAGGATAGGCAAGCTATACTTCAATACACTGGTTTGTTATGAGTACACCTTTGTTTTTTATGACTTCTAGCTATTCTAGTGAGAATTTAATTAAATGTTCTTACTTGAATAAATAACTTGATAAAGTGAGCTCAGTGATGACTACTGACTGGAGGGGACTGTCTTTGGTGATTCATTGCTCTGAGGATGCAATGCTGAATTTATTTTGCTTTGTATTCCAACTCTTGAGTGGTGTTTGATCTCAGGCATGGACTTTCTGGATCATAACATTGAATCAAAATTCCCAGGAACTCAGGTCAATTATTTGAATTATTAATATTTCTTAATTTGTGAAACATTGTCATCACCACATCATGTACAATTTCTTCCTTATTTTATCCCAGTACCTATTTCCCATCCCTTCTTTTGTAACCATATAATGAGGTCAGTTTAAGTTCTTTGAATTTGTGCATATTCTTGAAAAATGTCCAGTGTTTCTGAAGTTAATATTTTCTTCCAGTTTTATGTGTAATTATATATGTGATATTGTGCTGTAATCTTTGCTTTCTTTATTGCTTTACTCAATACTAAGTTTTGATGTATTCATATAGTTGTGTATATAACTAGTTCATTTATTCTAAGTGATACATAGTTCCCATTATGTATAGCCAAGAGCATGAGTTTTGTATCATGTGGTATTCACATGCTTAATTTCACCAAATATTCTCATACTGTTCTGCAGAAAGTTTGTGATGGTTTTTGCTACCATCAGAAATGCAAGGTCGATGCCAACAACCTATTATTTACAAAGAAAAAGTTTTTGACACAAAACTTATGTGCAAATTTTGTAAGACAGAGAAGTAAATCTCTGTAGTGAATGTTGTATGATATAAAATTTAAGCAAAACAAACTGGCATGTCTTGTGTCGAGGAGATGCTCTCTAAATAGTTGTTGAAAAATTGAACTAAATGCAGTGGACTTCTGACTCTGTCACATATGAGCTGTGTCACCTTGAATAAATTACTGAACCTCTTAGTTCTTTCATCTCTAAAATAGATATAATGATACTTATTTTATTGGATTGTTTAAAAGATTAAATGAAATCGTGCTTGAGAAGGTTTAGTTAAGCCAAACATTGGCTATTATTGTTATTATTTTTATTGTTGTCACTATTGTTATTTAGTGATGCCTTAGAGGTTCAACTGCAAGGCAATTTTGAAAAGTAAGGTAAATTCTCCCAACATCTATCTCTCCATTACACTGTTCCCAGTAGAGTGTTTTTTTGTTCTTATTTAAACTTTATATGATGCATTAACTGTCAATACATTTATAGCTGATGTTTACATAGGAAATTTTATATTTGCATTTGGAAAACAAAATGCAATCATTTTTTTTTTTAAAGGCAGGGTCACTCAGGCTGTAGTGCAGTAGTGTGATCATTGCTCACTGCAGCCTTGAACTCTTGGGCTCAAGCAATCCTCCTGCCTCAGCCTCCTGAGTAGTTGGGACTATGGGCCTGCACCAACATACCCAGCTAATTTTAAATATTTTTAGTAGAGATGGGGTCTCACATTGTTGTTCATGCTGGTCTTGAACTCCTAGCTTCAGGCAATCCTCCTGCCTAGGCCTCCCAATGTACTGGGATTACAGGCATGAGCCACTGTGCCAGGCCAAAACACAATCATTTTTGAGAAAACAGTGTACAGTAAGTACTCAAGATACATTTTAATTATAATTAGTAAGACATGACAATCACATGTAGCTATTTTGAAAAAAGCAGCATGCATCAACAAAGGAGACATGTACTGGGGATATTTCTGGTTCTAAGAGCCATCGCAGTGTCATACTCATTGTGAGCTATTCTGTGCCTAGTGCACTTGTCCCGAGGTGTTTCCAGAATGCCTTTCAAAGTTTAACCGAGTATTATACAATAAACACCCTCCTCAAATCAAGAAAGTATTATTTTGACTTTTTAATAATAGCTGGCTGGGCGTGGTGGCTCCCATCTGTAATCCCAGCACTTTGGGAGGCTGAGGCAGGCAGATCACTTGAGGTCAGGAGTTCGAGGCCAGCCTGGGCAACATGGCAAAACCCCATCTCTACTAAAAATACAAAAATAAGCTGGGCCATGGGTGGCATGCACTTGTAATCCCACCTGCTTGAGAGACTGAGGCAGGAGAATATCTTGAACCTGGGAGGTGGAGGTTGCAATGAGCTGAGATCGAGCCACTGCACTCCAGCCTGAGCGATAGAGCAAGACTCCATCTCTAATAAAAATAATAATAATAATAATAGCCTTTCTGACTGGTGTGAGATGATACCTCATTGTGGTTTTGATTGCCAATTCTCTAATGGCTAGTGATGTGAGCATTTTTTCATGCTTGCTGGCCACATGTGTGTCTTCTTTTGAAAAGTGTCTGTTCATGTCCTTTGCCTACTTTTTAACTGGGTTATTTTGTGCTTGTAAATTTGTTTAAGTTCCTTACAGATTCTGGATATTACACCTTTGTTGGATGCATAGTTTGCAAATATTTTCTCCCATTATGTAGCCTGTTTACTCTACTGATAGTTTCTTTGGCTGTGCAGATGCTTCTTAGTTTAATTAGGTACCAATTGTCCACTTTCTTTTTTGTTGCAATTGCCTTTGGCATTATTGTTATGAAATCTTAGCCAGGTCTAATGTGTAGAATGGTATTTTCTGGGTTATCTTCTAGGGTTTTAATAGTTTTAGGTTTTACATTTAGAAATTAATGCATCTTGTGTTGATTGTATGGGGAAAGGTAGGGGTCCAATTTCAATCGTCTGCATATGGCTTGCCAGTTATCCCAGCACCGTTTGTTAAATAGGGAGTCCTTTCTACATTGCGTGTTTTTGTTGACCTTGTCAAAGAGCAGATGCTGGCGAGGTGACAGAGGAAAGGGAATGCTTATACACTGCTGGTGGGAATGTAATTAGTTCAGCCATTATATAAAGTAGTGTGAAGATTTCTCAAAGCACTTAAAACAGAATTATCATTTGACCCAGCAATTTCATTATTGAGTATATACCCACAGGAATATAAATCATTCTATCATAAAGACACATGCACACATATGTTTATTGCAGCACTAGTCACACATGCAATCAACCTAAATGCCCATCAGCGGTAGACTGGATAAAGAAAATGTGGTACATATACACCATGGAATACTATGCAGCCATAAAAAGAATAAGACCATGTCTTTTCCAGGAACTTGGCTGGAGCTGAAGGCCATTATCCTAAGCAAACTAATTCAGGAAGTGAAAAACAAATACCACATCTTCTCACTTATAAGTGGGACATAAACAATAACACATAGACACAAAGAAGGAAAAACAGACACTAGGGTCTACTTGAGGGTGAAGGATGGAAGGAGGGAGAGTATCAAAAAGCTACCTATTGGGCACTATGCTTATTACCTGGGTGATGAAATAATCTGTACACCAAACCCCTGAGACATGCAGTTTACCTATAAGGCAAAGCTGCATATGTACCACTGAACATGAAGTAAAAGTTTTTTTTTTTAAAAAGAAAGTATTAAGGAAATTATGAATAAGAAAACAAGTAAACGAAAAAAATAGTAGAATAGATATTTCTATACACAAAAACAACTGTTGCACTAATTATATGAATTGTTTGACAATCAGGAAACAACGTTTAATCATTTCACATCCAAGCATCCTTCTATATAGGGGTTTTCCATATTTTATTTACATGTAGGAAATAAGTTGATTGTTCTATTAGAATGAGTCTAGGTTTTGTAGGAGCTGCAGCTTGTAATATTTGAGGGGGTCTCCTTTAACTAAAATAATATAAAATTATCTTACATTTATGAACATTACAAATATGCATTACTAGTTTCTTCCCAGGATCTTGGAAGGGGTTCCTGCAAGTGAAGGACTTTGAAGGTTAAGTTTCATCAATTTTATGATAAATCAACTTTTGGAATTTGGAATTGACATGTAATGTATCGTAATCTTTTTTTTTTTTTTTTTTTTTTTACACATTACGAAATAGGTACCCAGTTAACATTTTGGCACAGAACATCTGATTCTCTGAAATGTATTGTTGACTGACATAAAGCAGAATATTCCTCTTCCGAGATAGAAATAAACTATGAAGAGAAAGAAAAATGAATGGGAGAAAGGGAAAAAAAACCCTTCAAGTAATTGTAGCTAAAACTTCCTCTTTAGTTCTTTGTTACCTGATGAGTCACTACCAATTCTGTTTTTAATTTTGACTTATTGGTTACTAATAAGTGCATCAGCTCTTGAATTCTCAATGTAATTGAACTGGTTGTACTTGTAGGGGAAATCACAAGCAATTTTATTTCTATTTCCTTTTGTACTTAAAATACACTATGTGGAGTTATTTTAGTCCCTTCCTTTTGGATGAAAACTCACCCAGATTCCATGAGTTGATCATCATTCTTAAGATGGTAAAAGTCCTCTAGTACTTTGAATTTGAGTCACAATTCAAAATTTAAAATGTCCAGTCCTATGTAGAATAAAAATTTCAAATGTGAGTTCCAGTTTGTATTTTCCTCCTTCATTTATCCCCTCTACTTTTTTAGACATTCCCTCATGGGTATTTTCTGACCTCCTCTAAATGTGAAGTATGGGCCAAAAGAATGGATAAGGAGAGGGTGCAAAAAGTCTGAATTCATCGATGTTAGTGTGATGACCCAGGGGGAATGGCTCTTTCTCACCCTATCCCTGAGGTTTTCTCTGCTGCAGTTCCCTGGACAAAGCAAATGAATATCTCTTCAGGACAGTGACTTTTTTTCTCATCTTGTCCATCCCTCAACTTCTTTATTTTTTCTCGAGGTTTTTGTTTTTGTTTTTGTTTCCCTTTCAAGGAACCATCTCAAACAGGATGTAAGATGACCCTGGCCCTACAGTCTTGTGCATGGAAAACATTTATATACTCTTTGCCCTTGTGGACTCTGCTGCCCCACAGCTGCACCTCTTTTTGTGCAGCTTCAAAGCAAGAAACCAGCCCACATTTGCCGTATCAGCTTTTCAGGCAAAAGTCAGTAGCCAGGCCACTGCATCTCCAAACTGCAAGGAGCGTATTTTAAGTTCTCCAAATGGCAAATAATGAAGCAACCCCCATCCCTCGTTCTTAAGGGTACTGGGGTAGGACTCATGAATGTACCAACTACCAACTATAAAAATCCCCTTCTCTGTATTTTGTAGCCTCAATGTTGATAAATGCTTTTAGAGATTTTATGTCTTGTTTCCTATCACCTTTTTTGAAATAGTTTTATCCTTAAATGGAGACTGGCGTGAAATGTGTTTTGATTCTCTTAGTACTTTTATCCAAAAACATCCATAAGAAATGAAGAAATGAAATACTTTTGGCAAACCTATATATTTTTGGTATTGGTTCTTCTAGTCTGTGTATGATAAGTAAATAAAATGCAATATTTAGAATGGCTCTTTCTGTATTTACAGCATGGTACCTTTAGTCATCTGTTTAAAAGGTTACTAAATATTTACTCTGTGAAAGTCCTTAGTCATTTTTTCTTAACAATATTAATCAAAATCATATAGATGTTATGAGACTAGTATCTTCCACATAGTATGAAATGTGCCATTGGATTTTAGCCCTAACCTGAAACAATGGAGTAAAAATGCCTCAGGGAAACATATTGGTCCTTCAACTGACAAGGGACATGTAAGATTGAGATATTTTGTCCAGTTTTGTTTGAATGTTTTCTGTTAAAATAAAAACTACTTTGGCTTGCTATAAAGCATGTGTCCTTTAGGACACTTGTGCCAAATATTATGAGTGATATGATTACTGGGAAACAGACACACCACACACACACACACACACACACACACACACACACACACACACAATCTTTTTCCTGCAATGCCACAGAAGTGTCAAGAAATTAAAAGAAAATAAATTGTCAATCAACAAGGCTAAAAGAAAAAAAAAAAACCAGAAACCAAACAAATGATGAGAAAGAAAATAAGACTGAATTACAGGGAACATGAGAAGATACTTTTGGTCCTCCAAACTTACTGGGATCCTCCACTTACATGATAGAAACTACAGAAATGAAAATGTTTCCCAAATTATTGATTTTTTCTTTCACAGAGAATGCATGTCTAAGTGACTCCCAATATAATTAAAATCAGGTACAATTAACATCTTTGTTTAGGTAAAAATTAAAATTTTAAATCACTGCCTATATATAGATTAGAAATGACTTACCTTAAAAAGGCCATATTCTGGGGAGGAGCCAAGATGGCCGCATAGGAACAGCTCCGGTCTACAGCTCCCAGCTTGAGTGACGCAGAAGACAGGTGATTTCTGCATTTCCATCTGAGGTACCGGGTTCATCTCACTAGGGAGTGCCAGACAGTGGGCACAGGTCAGTGGGTGCGCGCACCGTGTGCGAGCCGAAGCAGGGAGAGGCATTGCCTCACTTGGGAAGCGCAAGGGGTCAGGGAGTTCCCTTTCCGAGTCAAAGAAAGGGGTGACGGACGCACCTGGAAAATTGGGTCACTCCCACCCGAATATTGCGCTTTTCGGACTGGCTTAAAAAACGGTGCACCACGAGATTACATCCCGCACCTGGCTCGGAGGTTCCTATGCCCACGGAGTCTCGCTGATTGCTAACACAGCAGTCTGAGATCAAACTGCAAGGCGGCAACGAGGCTGGGGGAGGGGCGCCCGCCATTGCCCAGGCTTGATTAGGTAAACAAAGCAGCCAGGAAGCTCGAACTGGGTGGAGCCCATCACAGCTCAAGGAGGCCTGCCTGCTTCTGTAGGCTCCACCTCTGGGGGCAGGGCACACACAAACAAAAAGACAGCAGTAACCTCTGCAGACTTAAATGTCCCTGTCTGACAGCTTTGAAGAGAGCAGTGGTTCTCCCAGCACACAGCTGGAGATCTGAGAATGGGCAGACTGCCTCCTCAAGTGGGTCCCTGACCCCTGACCCCCGAGCAGCCTAACTGGGAGGCACCCCCCAGCAGGGGCACACTGACACCTCACACGGCAGGGTATTCCAACAGACCTGCAGCTGAGGGTCCTGTCTGTTAGAAGGAAAACTAACAAACAGAAAGGACATCCACACCAAAAACCCATCTGTACATCACCATCATCAAAGACCAAAAGTAGATAAAACCACAAAGATAGGGAAAAAACAGAACAGAAAAACTGGAAACTCTAAAAAGCAGAGCGCCTCTCCTCCTCCAAAGGAACGCAGTTCCTCACCAGCAATGGAACAAAGCTGGATGGAGAATGACTTTGATGAGCTGAGAGAAGAAGGCTTCAGACGATCAAATTACTCTGAGCTACGGGAGGACATTCAAACCAAAGGCAAAGAAGTTGAAAACTTTGAAAAAAATTTAGAAGAATGTATAACTAGAATAACCAATACAGAGAAGTGCTTAAAGGAGCTGATGGAGCTGAAAACCAAGGCTCGAGAGCTACTTGAAGAATGCAGAAGCCTCAGGAGCCGATGTGATCAACTGGAAGAAAGGGTATCAGCAATGGAAGATGAAATGAATGAAATGAAGTGAGAAGGGAAGTTTAGAGAAAAAAGAATAAAAAGAAATGAGCAAAGCCTCCAAGAAATATGGGACTACGTGAAAAGACCAAATCTACGTCTGATTGGTGTACCTGAAAGTGATGGGGAGAATGGAACCAAGTTGGAAAACACTCTGCAGGATATTATCCAGGAGAACTTCCCCAATCTAGCAAGGCAGGCCAACGTTCAGATTCAGGAAATACAGAGAACGCCACAAAGATACTCCTCGAGAAGAGCAACTCCAAGACACATAATTGTCGGATTCACCAAAGTTGAAATGAAGGAAAAAATGTTAAGGGCAGCCAGAGAGAAAGGTCGGGTTACCCTCAAAGGGAAGCCCATCAGACTAACAGCGGATCTCTCGGCAGAAACCCTACAAGCCAGAAGAGAGTGGGGGCCAATATTCAACATTCTTAAAGAAAAGAATTTTCAACCCAGAATTTCATATCCAGCCAAACTGAGCTTCATAAGTGAAGGAGAAATAAAATACTTACCAACAAGCAAATGCTGAGAGATTCTGTCACCACCAGGCCTGCCCTAAAAGAGCTCCTGAAGGAAGTGCTAAACATGGAAAGGAACAACCGGTACCAGCCGCTGCAAAATCATGCCAAAATGTAAAGACCATCGAGACTAGGAAGAAACTGCATCAACTAACGAGCAAAATCACCAGCTAACATCATAATGACAGGATCAAATTCACACATAACAATATTAACTTTAAATGTAAATGGACTAAATGCTCCAATTAAAAGACACAGACTGGCAAATTGGATAAAGAGTCAAGACCCATCAATGTGCTGTATTCAGGAAACCCATCTCACCTGCAGAGACACATATAGGCTCAAAATAAAAGGATGGAGGAAAATCTACCAAGCAAATGGAAAGCAAAAAAAGGCAGGGGTTGCAATCCTAGTCTCCGATAAAACAGACTTTAAACCAACAAAGATCAAAAGAGACAAAGAAGGCCATTACATAATGGTAAAGGGATCAATTCAACAAGAGGAGCTAACTATCCTAAATATATATGCACCCAATACAGGAGCACCCAGATTCATAAAACAAGTCCTGAGTGACCTACAAAGAGACTTAGACTCCCACACATTAATAACGGGAGACTTTGACACCCCACTGTCAACATTAGACAGATCAACGAGACAGAAAGTCAACAAGGATACCCAGGAATTGAACTCAGCTCTGCACCAAGCGGACCTAATAGACATCTACAGAACTCTCCACCCCAAATGAACAGAATATACATTTTTTTCAGCACCACACCACACCTATTCCAAAATTGACCACATACTTGGAAGTAAAGCTCTCCTCAGCAAATGTAATAGAACAGAGATTATAACAAACTATCTCTCAGACCACAGTGCAATCAAACTAGAACTCAGGATTAAGAATCTCACTCAAAACCGCTCAACTACATGGAAACTGAACAACCTGCTCCTGAATGACTACTGGATACATAACAAAATGAAGGCAGAAATAAAGATGTTCTTTGAAACCAACGAGAACAAAGATACAACATACCAGAATCTCTGGGACGCATTCAAAGCAGTGTGTAGAGGGAAATTTATAGTACTAAATGCCCACAAGAGAAAGCAGGAAAGATCCAAAATTGACACCCTAACATCACAACTGAAAGGACTAGAAAAGCAAGAGCAAACACACTCAAAAGCTAGCAGAAGGCAAGAAATAACTAAGAAGGAAATAGAGACACAAAAAACCCTTCAAAAAATTAATGAATCCAGGAGTAGGTTTTTTGAAAGGATCAACAAAATTGATAGACTGCTAGCAAGACTAATAAAGAAAAAAAGAAGCATCAAATAGACGCAATAAAAAATGATAAAGGGGATATCACCACCGATCCCACAGAAATACAAACTACCATCAGAGAATACTACAAACATCTCTATGCAAATAAACTAGAAAATCTAGAAAAAATGGATAAATTCCTCGACACATACACCCTCCCAAGACTAAACCAGGAAGAAGTTGAATCTCTGAATAGACCAATACCAGGCTCTGAAATTGTGGCAATAATCAATAGCTTACCAACCAAAAAGAGTCCAGGACCAGAAGGATTCACAGCTGAATTCTACCAGAGGTACAAGGAGGAACTGGTACCATATATTCTGAAACTATTCCAATCAATAGAAAGAAAGGGAATCCTCCCTAACTCATTTTATGAGGCCAGCATCATCCTGATACCAAAGCCTGGCAGAGACACTACAAAAAAAGAGAATTTTAGACCAATATCTTTGATGAACATTGATGCAAAAATCCTCAATAAAATACTGGCAAACCGAATCCAGCAGCACATCAAAAAGCTTATCCACCATGATCAAGTGGGCTTCATCCCTGGGATGCAAGGCTGGTTCAATATATGCAAATCAATAATTGTAATCCAGCATATAAACAGAGCCAAAGACAAAAACCACATGATTATCTCAATAGATGCAGAAAAAGCCTTCACAAAATTCAACAACCTTTCATGCTAAAAACTCTCAATAAATTAGGTATTGATGGGACGTATTTCAAAATAATAAGAGCTATCTAGGACAAACCCACAGCCAATATCATACTGTATGGGCAAAAACTGGAAGCATTCCCTTTGAAAACTGGCACAAGACAGGGATGCCCTCTCTCACCACTCCTATTCAACATAGTGTTGGAAGTTCTGGCCAGGGCAATTAGGCAGGAGAAGGAAACAAAGTGTATTCAATTAGAAAAAGAGGAAGTCAAATTGTCCCTGTTTGCAGACGACATGATTGTGTATCTAGAAAACCCCATTGTCTCAGCCCAAAATCTCCTTAGGCTGATAAGCAACTTCAGCAAAGTCTCAGGATACAAAATCAATGTGCAAAAATCACAAGCATTCTTATACACCAAAAACAGACAAACAGAGAGCCAAATCATGAGTGAACTCCCATTCACAACTGCTTCAAAGAGAATAAAAGACCTAGGAATCAACTTACAAGTGACGTGAAGGACCTCTTCAAGGAGAACTACAAACCAGTGCTCAAGGAAATAAAAGAGGATACAAAGAAATGGAATAACATTCCATGCTCATGGGTAGGAAGAATCAATATCATGAAAATGGCCATACTGCCCAGGGTAATTTACAGATTCAATGCCATCCCCATAAAGCTACCAATGACTTTCTTGACAGAATTGGAAAAAACTACTTTAAAGTTCATATGGAACCAAAAAAGAGCCTGCATCGCCAAGGCAATCCTAAGCCAAAAGAACAAAGCTGGAGGCATCACACTACCTGACTTCAAACTATACTACAAGGCTACAGTAACCAAAACAGCATGGTACTGGTACCAAAACAGCATGGTACTGGTACCAAAACAGAGATATAGATCAATGGAACAGAACAGAGCCCTCAGAAATAACGCCGCATATCTACAACTATCTGATCTTTGACAAACCTGAGAAAAACAAGCAATGGGGAAAGGATTCCCTATTTAATAAATGGTGCTGCGAAAACTAGCTAGCCATATGTAGAAAGCTGAAACTGGATCCCTTCCTTACACCTTATACAAAAATCAATTCAAGATGGATTAAAGACTTAAACATTAGACCTAAAACCATAAAAACCCTAGAAGAAAACCTAGGCATTACCATTCAGGACATAGGCATGGGCAAGGACTTCATGTCCAAAACACCAAAAGCAATGGCAACAAAAGCCAAAATTGACAAATGGGATCTAATTAAACTAAAGAGCTTCTGCACAGCAAAAGAAACTACCATCAGAGTGAACAGGCAACCTACAAAATGGGAGAAAATTGTTGCAACCTACTCATCTGACAAAGGGCTAATATCCAGAATCTACAATGAACACAAACAAATTTACAAGAAAAAAACAACCCCATCAAAAAGTGGGTGAAGGACATGAACAGACACTTCTGAGAAGAAGACATTTATGCAGCCAAAAAACACATGAAAAAATGCTCATCATCACTGGCCATCAGAGAAATGCAAATCAAAACCACAATGAGATACCATCTCACACCAGTTAGAATGGCAATCATTAAAAAGTCAGGAAACAACAGGTGCTGGAGAGGATGTGGAGAAATAGGAACACTTGGACACTGTTGGTGGGACTGTAAACTAGTTCAAACATTGTGGAAGTCAGTGTGGCGATTCCTCAGGGATCTAGAACTAGAAATACCATTTGACCCAGCCATCCCATTACTGGGTATATACCCAAAGGAGTATAAATCATGCTTCTATAAAGACACATGCACACGTATGTTTATTGCGGCATTATTCACAATAGCAAAGACTTGGAACCAACCCAAATGTCCAACAATGATAGACTGGATTAAGAAAATGTGGCACATATACACCATGGAATACTATGCAGCCATAAAAAATGATGAGTTCATGTCCTTTGTAGGGACATGGATGAAATTGGAAATCATCATTCTCAGTAATCTATCGCAAGAACAAAAAACCAAACACCACATATTCTCACTCATAAGTGGGAATTGAACAATGAGAACACATGGACACAGGAAAGGGAACATCACACTCTGAGGACTGTTGTGGGGTGAGGGGAGGGGAGAGGGATAGCATTGGGAGATATACCTAATGCTAGATGACGAGTTAGTGGGTGCAGCGCACCAGCATGGCACATGTATACATATGTAACTAACCTGCACAATGTGCACATGTACCCTAAAACTTAAAGTATAATAAAGAAAAAAATTAACTAGAATATTTGGTGGAGTAAAAAAAGAAAAAAAAAGAAATTACATTTTGCAAGCAATTTTTCAGAAGAACTAGTCAATATATTTGCTTTAAAAATGTAAGTATATGACTTTAATAAAAACTCGTGTGACTTTAAAAAAAAAAAAAAAGGCCATATTCTTTCCAGAAGGAAAAACCGATTACGTAACAGTGATTATTTTATTCTGATGTATTCTGTTCAATATGTTAAGCTTAGAATAGATGAAGTTTTACTTTGAATATAAATTATTTATTTTCATTATATTTACAACAGCTGACAGTTTTAGTAATAACAGGATTATGGGGGGATTTTCTATTTTCAATCTCATCTCTTAGTAGTAATACAAAAATAATAAGTCCGATTCAGGACCTGGGTAGATCAAGTAAAAATGCCACAGGTTTAGTTCATGTAAGTAAAGATGCTTTTATTCTGAC
Organism: Homo sapiens; assembly: GCF_000001405.40. Lineage (NCBI taxonomy): Eukaryota > Metazoa > Chordata > Mammalia > Primates > Hominidae > Homo > Homo sapiens. Next base: position 129,860,387 of record NC_000004.12, read on the forward strand.
ACTAATGTAGAGCTTTATTTAAAACAAACAAACAAACAAAACGAGTCAAGCATGGTTGTTGGGGGAGACTACGTTAAATCAGGTTAACAATAACCCAAAGTGCTCTGACCAACTGAGACCAACTAGAGCTTTCCTATAGTTAAACACCTTCTGACCTTCTGGTGGCATTAGATTCAGGCTACCTATACACTGCTAGTAAGTCCTACTTTGCCTAAGTCACATTCAAGGTATGCTAAGGAGTGTTTTTAAGTTTTAGTTTTTTGTTTTGTTTTGGTTTGGTTTTTTTAAGTTTTTTTCCATTCCAGTGTCTGCTGTGCTGTTTGGGAAACAAAAAATCATTAACAAAATCAAGAAAATCAAATTTGAGACCTGCTTTAATGGCTGTTTCACTTTATAGTGAAAACTCAAACTTAACTCTTCACTGAGCACATTTCTTGGCTATCACTTTGATCCTTGGGTACATGTAACACAATGCAAAGGTGCAAGTGATATACTTGCTAATTTATTTGAGATCCTTCTCTCCACTAATCCTATGTAGAATTATGATAATCCAACATGATAATTTTTATAAATGCATTAACATTTGGATTACTATAACTGATAAATCTCAGTCTACCTACTTTTCAAAACTACCATTTTGCATTCTTTACACTGGCCTTATGGCATTTAAAAATTCCAATGGTATTTGAAATACAAGCATAAAGCTAAGGAATTGAGATCCTAGAGTTCAACTATGAAATTTTAAATCAAGGGAAAATAATAATTCAAGGGTAGTTTAGGATAATTGTTTCATTTTCCAGTCAAGAAAATTGAGGTTGTACAGGTGGAACCAATAGGTGACTAGTGTTAGGATAACCAATTAAGACTGATCATCACCAGAACACGAGCCTCTCATGTGCTGCTAATCCAGGGCTCTGTCGATCAAGACTGAAACCAAGAATGAAGAAATAAGAAATAAATATGCTTTCCAATCTCAAGTCATCTGAAATTTATTTTAAAAAGCTTAAACTAATAATTCATACTGCTTTAGGCCTGCTACTTTCATTCTTATTCGTAAATAACACTTCACCCATAGTAAATGCTTGATAAATATTTGTTGAAATGAATTAAATTTATTCAAGGATAAATATAGTGTACCACATCTTTTCAAGGCTTCACCACATTAATATCAATTCATGAATTTCACAAGCTCTGAGGTTCTACTTACTCGGTAGCAGCACCTGCCCTTTACCTAAAAACTCTGTTAATTCCGAGACTATAAAGCAGGTGGTCTCCCATGTGCTCAAGGACATATCACCTTGTGTTGTTTTGCTCTCAGTCAAGGAGATCTATTTGTCTCTCTGCCTTCCGCACCCTTCATTTGAATATGTGCCTCCACAAGGCAATGACATCCTCCAATGGTGGTCACCTAATCCTTTCACGATGCCAAAGCTATCCCATGATCAGGGATAGAGGTGAGGAGAATGGTTATTTCCCTACATTTCTGTGATTCTCTCTTCCTGAGGTCTAAAGCAGCATGGCTAGATCACACATGCTAATAAGTAGACGAGCTAATATATAAACCCAATTAGTCTGGCTCCAGACTCCCCATACACTGTGTGGGGTGTGGCACATCTATTTCATACTTTACATCGTCCTGTGCTCTCTGAGGATCATGCATGCAATGTCTATCTTCAGTCTCCAGGCAAACCAACAAAATGTGCACACAAATTAATTGGTTTTTTTTTTTTTTTTTTTTTTGCGGGGGGGATGGAAAGGGAAAGAACTTTCTCCATCTTCTCTTTCTAGAAGTGTCCCAGTCACAACTCCAGCCTTTCAACTCAACTCATTGTAATGAAGCAGAAAGGTTTTTCATTCTGTGATATGTATTTTATAATTTTTCTCTGTGTTATTTACTTACTTATTGATCTAAGACCTATGGTCTGGTTTTGAAAAGCTAGGCAGCAGTGTTCAATTGTTTGTTGTTTTTTTAAAGTATACTTTTCTTTACGGTGTTGCTGCATTGTAAACAATTCTAAAATCTCAGTGTCTTACCTCACTATTTCTTGCTCATGCATTTTTACAGGCCAGCTCTGGCAATGCTGAGCTCAGATGGAATTAGCTAGGCTTGGATCCAGGCTGCAAGTTAAAGCTCAGTGTTTCTTCTCATTGGTTAAAGCTCAGTGTTTGTTCTTATTCCAGAACCAATGGCTCTACCCAACATATTCTTCTCACCACAGATGACAAAGACACAAGGAGCCAAGACAGATCATTCAAGCATATTCATTGCCTCTATCTTCATCCCATTAAATAACATCCCGCCAACCAAAGCAAGTTATCTGCATAAGAATAAATATTCCACCTACTCTACTGCAAGGCCCTGCAAGAGTCATGAGACAAAAGGTTTGGATGTAATCCTATTACAGTGAGTGGGTAGGGGTAGTGAAGAGCAGAGAACCTTAATCCATTTTACCACAGTTATCAATAATGACAGTAAGAATAGTAATAGTGATGATGATGATGATGTAAACAAGTTTTCTTTTCCGCAGCTTTTAACATTAAGCTTTATTCACCCTGAGATTTTTACCCTTAATTTAAAGGCCTAGTAAGATGGCCTTACAGAAATAATTTTTTTTTTCTCCATGAGCCATTTAAGAGCACTTTAATAAGGAGGAAAAGAAATTCCTTGTGAGTGAAGAGAGGCATGCATTGGAGATGATGTGTTACTGTGAAACAGCGTACAGAATGTAGAAATTAGCTTTGAAAATGTGACACCCAAATTAACATCCTGCCTAGCTCCAATCAGCTTGAGTATTAGGGAGAGAGGACTGTAGTCTCAATTGTGTAAATTTAGAAGAGGCATTTTTTAAAAAAACTAAAACTACAGGCTGCAGTATTTTGTTGCTTAGATAATAAGAGTGTGTCACACTGGGAATGAGGGTTCCTTCTTTCCACTTTTTAGACACTCCTAAAACCCAGCAGCCTGAGAATGAAACAGGAACAGTCTGCAAGTTAATTAAAAGCGGTGGAGGCTTATGGTTCAGCAACCATAGATAACAGTAGGTGATCCCCACTGTTGAGATGTGATGACTTAACACGATAGATGGAGGGAGGAGAAAACTAGCAGAACCCACAGTGAGAGAACTGGATTTAGTAACGTACACAGACATCTTACTGGAGAGGAAAATTCAAGGAAGAATTTTTACTGCCACTTCAGTCTGTTTGTGTCCAAACTAGTGTGTTTGAAGGCATTCTGGCTTATATTATTATTATTATTATTGTTATTATTTATTACCACTATTATTCATATATTAGTGTTTTAACTTCATTGATGAGACAAGATGACGAACTTTGACAATTCTTTTGTTCATGAAAGGGATACAATCGCCCAGCTCCACTTTGCCTAGGCTATGATATAGGAAACAAAATTAGATCTATCCTAAGAAAACAAGAATGAAGAATAGCTTATCCAATCAATAAAAAATTACTGTCATTTGGATAAGAATTTGCCTGATGTACAAAAATTTGCTTGGCAATCTCAAGTTTTTATGTTTCCATAATATGCTACATAAGTGCTAGAATTTATTTATTGCTATCTAGTTAGAAGAAAATAAAAGCTGCCCCATCAGTAATACAAAATTGTATTCCAATACTTTTCATCACATAAGGGACATTCCACAGGCTATGAAATTCTCAATAAAACGGCAAACCTCATTGAATTGTCTCATACTGAGTTGAATATCAATAAAACTACAATTTTATTGGTAACTGCTGGACAGCAGAAATGGGAATCACATTGATTCACATTATCATAGTTTAATATCCTTTAACAGATATTGTTCCTTAGGTTTACTTTTCAAAGATCTTTCTTCTCTCATTAAACCTACCCTTTCTGTGGGACTTTCTTTCTCAAAAATTTCATCTATTTCCATGCTTTAAGTATGAATGAATCCTGAAAGTTTATCTCTAGACCAGCGTTTCAGTCTCCTTGACAATGAGCTTTGGATATCTGCATGGAGCTGAAACTTGGCAGGTGAAAAAACAAATTCATTTTCATACCTCAATATTTCCCAAAACATTCATTTCCTCTAGACTTTTTTTATTTCTTAATATAGATCTAGATTTTTGAACTTGACTATTATCCCTCCTTTACTTTTTTATATTTAACAATGCAAATTCTATTTCTATATCAATATTTTATACTTATATTTCCATCTTTAGACCACTTCCTCTAATCCAGAGCCTCTTAATTCTTTCTTTGTAAAGTCCTTCCAAATGTAATTAATTCTCAGGTTTATTTCTCCTGTCTCTTAATTTGTCAACAGTACCCCACTTCTGATTAGTGTTTTTAAGGTGCAGCCTCTCTGCTACTCTACCTTTGGGGTCCACTTCAAATGCCGTTAACTCTATTAGAACTTTTTCCAGTGTCATGACTATATATATACATATATATACACATAACTGTATATATATATGTATATATAGTCTCTTGATCATGTGAATTTCTTTGTAAAGTTTTCCCTGAAATACTTTAATACATTCAATAGAATATGCATCTCTGCACCTCCATCATATAAAGGGCTTTGCTGATTGTTGTGTGAGTGGGAAGTGTGTGGACAGGTATACTGAGTAACAGGAATCGTGTCACCCATGATTAATCTTTTCAAAAATGTAATCAATTTTATGTTTATTCCCTCATTTTCCCCCACCAGATATATAATTGAGCACTCTGATGCCAAGGATGGTGAGTTACTCATCTTTCTATTCCAGGCTATAACTCACATGAAAAAGATGAACATTAAATACTTACTAAATTTTATCAGTGATTCTACTTAGGCTCTATGGATTTATAATTTATTTTCCAGCAAAAAGGGAAATTATCTATCTATCTATCTATCTATCTATCTATCTATCTATCTATCATCTATCTAGCTAGCTAGGTAGCTGCTTACCTATCTGTCTGTCTAGCTGCTTACCTATCTGTCTATCAGTTATTTTTCTTCCAATGGTGATGCAGCTGAAGAATTACTTAGGGCCACATCACTACCAGGGAACACAAATGCTCACAAATAACTATTAATATTCTTTTGCTTTGATTTATTGGAAAACATTTTTCCCCTAAGCTGGGAACGACGTTAATGCCCTCTATTAGGATAAAGTGACTGCTAAAAATACTGCAGGTTCTTTTCACTCAAGACCTAGACTATTGGATCAGAAGCTCCTGCCACTAACAGCCTTAGTGTAAATGCCATCCACAAAGTGGATGTTACACACAATTTGAATGAATTAATTTGAATGACTATTCGTATTGAAAATGACATATTTTCAGTGAAATTGAATGAGGCATTCTAATTTGTCTTCAAATTCAGTAAAATTTCAATTAATAGGAAAAAAACAGGAAAATATGCAATTCATATGCCCTATAATTCTTTAGCTAAGTATTCTCTGCATTTGCTGTTTTCTATTTCCCTTTATTACCCAGTCTAAACCAAGTTCTACTGCTTCTCCCATGATAGCTAGAGTTGAACATTTGCTGAATCTTGTAAGCATGTCTGCTATGAAATTAAAAATAAATGTGGTTCATTTGAGATGATCTCATATTTTCTTAGTTGCTTTTTGGGTTGTGTGATTCCAATAGCACACACTACCCCCAGCTTCTGTTTCATGAACTGACATTAAATAAACTATGAAACTAGTGCTAAAATGGACAATTCAACAATTAAAGAGACAGTAAATGGAGATAGTATATTTACTTTACCTCTGCCTTCATTATTCTAAACCTCCTAACAGCAGCAATAAAATATTTTAGCAAGAGTTTCCAGATGCAATAAGAATTTAATTTTCTTCTCAGAAAGAGGAACTTGTTTATAACTCACTAGAGAAGACTGAGCTTATAAGATATTTAATTGTTCTTATTGTGATAAAATTCGGGCCCAGAGTAATTTATTTTCCCTTTCAATGTGGAAGATACACATAAAGCTAAATAATTGAAGTAAAAATTAATAGGATTGAGTTCCAAATTGTTACTTTGGGAATATTGTAGTGGTGGTTTCAATAGAATATGCATCTCTGCACCTCCATCATATAAAGGACTTTGCTGATTGTCATGCGTGAGTGGGAAGTGTGTGGACAGGTATGCTGAGTAACAGGAAACAACTTTTTTTTTTTTTTTTTTTTTTTTGAGATGGAGTTTCCCTCTTGTTGCCCAGGCTGGAATGCAATGGCGCAATCTCGGCTCACTGCAACCTCCGCCTTCCGGGTTCAAGTGATTCTCCTGCCTCAGCCTCCCAAGTAGCTGGAATTACAGGCATCCACCACCATGCCTGATAATTTTTTGTATTTGTAATAGAGACGGGGTTTCGCCATGTTGGCCAGGCTGGTCTCGAACTCCTGACCTCAGGTGATTCACCCACCTCGGCCTCCCAAAGTACTGGGATTACAGGTGCAGCCACCGCGCCCAGCTGGAAGCAACTTCTGTCTATACTACATTCACGCCAGTGGTGAGGCTAAACACCCCATTTATATATGGGATCTGCTTTTCAGGGAATCACCCTACATCTTTGCTTTTAAAAAGCTACCCTTGTACTGACTGTGTAGGTCATTTAGCATTGCTTAGTACAGGGGATTTTGAAGCTATTGGTCATATTGCCTGTAAAGAACTGGTTTTGCCCAACATTATTCAATGTTAGTCACAGTAGCAGAAATTTGAAAAACATAATTTCTTTTTTTTTGCGATAGGATCTCTCTTTCTGTCACTCAGGCTGGAGTTCAGTGGCTTGATAATAGCTCACCGCAGCCTCAAACTCCAAGAGGGCAATTCTCCTGCCTTGGCCTCCCAAAGTGTTGATATTACAGGCATGAGCCACTGCCCTTGGCTCATAATTTCCATATAGCCATTTCCAGTGGCATCATGCTGTATACATAGAATTTAATTATTTTTTAAATACTCTTTTTTTTAAAATATTATAAAAGTAAGGCATGGATTTAGAAACTTGGAAAATGTTTACAAATGCGTAGAACGAAACAACATTTCTCCATAATCTTGAAACATGTTGACAACATTTTAATGTATTTTTTGCCACTCTTTTTGCTTGCATGTGCATGATCGTATATGCATGCATTGAATCTTGCATTTCAACATATAAGGTGTTGGACAGTGGGAGGTGTATACACACACACACACACGCGCGCATTTGAATCTTGCATTTTTATGTTATATTGTTACTGGAAATGCCCCGTGCCATTAATTGTAACAAAATTACATGAATGTCTGCATAATAGGCTGATGTTAGATATACTCTAATGCATCTGTTCATTTATCTATTGTGAAATGTTGATTTTTTTCAGTTTATATTACCACAAATTCTATTGTAATGAATTACTTTCTAAGGAAAGTTAATATTCTATAAACCATACTGTGGTGGTTAATATTGAGTGTCAACTTGATTGAATTGAAGAATGCAAAGTATTGATCCTGGGTGTGTCTGTGAGGGTGTTGCTAAAGGAGATTAACACTTGAGTCAGCGGACTGGGAGAGGCGACCCACCCTCAATCTGGGTGGGCACAAATTAATCATCTGCCAGTGAAGCTAGGATAAAAGGAGGCAGAGGAACATGGAAAAACTAGACTGGCTAAGTCTTCCAGACTTCATCTTTCTCCTGTACTGGATGCTTCCTGCCCTCGAACATTGGACTCCAAGCTCTTCAGCTTTTGGACTCTTGGACTTACCCCAGTGGTTTGCCAGGGGCTCTCAGACCTTGCCCACAGACAAAAGGCGGCACTGTGGGCTTTCCCACTTTTGAAGTTTTGGGACTTGGACTGGCTTCCTTGCTCCTCAGCTTGCAGAAAGCCTATTGTGAGACTTCACTTTGTGATTGTGTGAGTCAATACTCATTAATAAACTCCCCTTTATATATACATCTACCCTATTAGTTCTGTCCCTCTAGAGAACACTGACTAATACACATACTAAACTGTCTTCTTTCAGAGTTTACCCTGCATGTTTTATCCAGCTATGTACGTGGCAAAGACAGTTCCTTTTTATTATTTAGCTTCATAGTCTAAAATATTCCTAAAACCTAGTATTTTTAAATTCCTAACTTGTATCCCGCTTACAAAAATATTCTATACAAGTTAATTACAAATGAAATTACCAGCTACTTTAAAAAACATTGGTGCTTTTTTTATTTCTCAGTCCTTTCCATCTAGCTGTGGTTTGTTGTTTTTTACCTCTGCTTAAAACCTTCTTTCTAAAACTTCTTTCTGTTTTGGTCCCCTCCTTTCAAACTTTGAGCAATACCCAAGATGTACTCAGTCTTCTTTCCAGCCTTTCTCACTTGAGGAACTCCTTCATTCTAAAGACTTCAACGATAATGCCATGTGAATTAATTCAATTTTTTTACACATATCTTATCTCTTACTATTGGTGAAAGACCTTTGAATCAGAAAATACACTGTGTGATTTCTTCCCCTTACTTCATATACTTAATGCTATTACCACTACTACTACTGCTATTAATAGCAATGCTCACTGGCCATTTGCTATATATGGGCCAAGTATTGTGAAAAGCACTTTATTTATCTGCAACATGTAAATTAACCTTCAAAATATTCTATGAAAGGTATGTTGTAAATATTATTTCACAAATAAATAATATGAGTTCCCAGGGCTCTGTAATTTGACAAGGTCTATATGACCCTAAAGGGCAGATATAACTTGCTACACTATTCAGTTTCATCATAAACCATATATTACACGTTAAGACTTCACCATATTTACGAGTAGCTCCTCTGTAAGTCAGTTGTTTGTTTCTTATTGCCTAATCCAAAATGCAATATAGAGTTTAACCATGGATTTTAGCAGTAGACCTGAGAGAACACAATTCAGAATTTGAACCTGAAACTTGGGATGATAAATAGTTTTCTTGTTAAACATGTTGTTCTTTAATCCCTTATTTGGGTCCATCTCTCTTCAAGTTGCAATGTATATTTTCATTGTTACGTTCTAATATTTCTTGTCCTCCTCAGTCAATGAGGCCTGGATAGTGGTCATAGGGTTGGCTATGAACACTTTCATTGATGAGTGAACACAGCCACATATCTCCAGATATGGGGAACTGCAGGGCCAACACTTGCTGGCAATATGAGCCCATTCCAGGGAACATTTTCTGTCTTGGGCCACCTAGCTCTCTATTCACCTGCTATGTTACTTGTATGGCTTCTTCCTCTTCTATCTTCCCTGTTTCATAAGATTTCTCTCCTGAAAAATGTGTTCTCACAGTTATTCACCTGATTGAGGAAAGGCTTATGGCTCTTCTGAAGTTTTTCTTCTAGCTAGGTTTATTTTCCTGTCAACAACAAAGAAACAACAAAACATTAATTTTGGAAAAAAAAAAAAAAAGATGTGGTCAAAATTATCTTCTAGGAAGAAGGAAGTCCCCCAAGCCCACAGTCCCAAGCCAGTGTGGTCTAGTTGTTGAGATTATGGGCTTTGACTGATTTCAGTCCCACCTCAGTCACTGGCCAAGTTCTTTAATCTTTTAGATACTTAATTCCTTCATGTTTAAAATGGGAAAACTGTAAAATCCAGCTATATTTCATATAGCTGCAATGAAAGTCTTTTTTGTTTTGTAGCAATGAGCAAAAGGGAAAATGGGGGAAAGATGGAAGTGGAGACAGTAACTTAATACAGTGTTTTCACCTACTCAGCTGCCTGGAGGTGCTGTAGGGAACAGACACAGGGGCAGTGACTGCTTCTAGTTACTGTCAATAAACGCATGCTGGTTGATCGATATCAAGTTTATTAGACAAAGATAATTATTGCATTTGTAAGTTAAAAATTATTAAAACTGTCACTAACCTTGTCAAAGTGCTAAATTTGAAAAATAAGAGTACAATTTTCATTTCAAAAATCAGGTTATTTCCTTGATTCGTCTCAGCATTCTCTCTCTTCATAGCTGGTTGCTTAACTACATATTACCTTTTTAATTCTGCATTTTTGTTTCATAGCATACCCTCATTTGCATTTCTAAAATCGGATGTTCCTTTCACATAACACAGTATCCTAATTAAAATATTAAAAGATGCTTTCTGAATGAAGAGAATTTACATTGCCATAAAAATGTTCAGAGTGATGCCGGCTGGTTTTTTAAATAATTTCAATTACACTTTCTCTGTAAATTTTTTCTAGTTATTCAGTTAACCCTTGCAGCTTTTTAGGATGGATTAAAAATATGGAAGTGGAACTAGAGGCAAAAAGAATTATGACAAATAAAAAAACATTATATTCACAGTAAAATTTTGGGGAAAAATAGATACTTATTTTCTATTTCATTCTCACTAAAATTATTTGGTTTTCTTGATGAATTGATTGATTCTTTTGTTATTATTATACTTCAAGTTTTAGGGTACATGTGCACAACGTGCAGGTTTGTTACATATGCATACATGTGCCATGTTGGTGTGCTGCACCAATTAACTTGTCATTTAACATTAGGTATATCTCCTAATGCTATCCCTCCCCACTCCCTCCACCCCACAACAGGCCCTGGTGTGTGATGTTCCCCTTCCTGTGTCCATGTGTTCTCATTGTTCAATTCCCACCTATGAGTGAGAACATGTGGTGTTTGGTTTTTTTTCCTTGCGATAGTTTGCTGAGAATGATGGTTTCCAGCTTCATCCATGTCCCTACAAAAGACATGAACTCATCATTTTTTATGGCTGCATAGTATTCCATGGTGTATATGTGCCACATTTTCTTAATCCAGTCTGTCATTGTTGGACATTTGGGTTGGTTCCAAGTCTTTGCTATTGTGAATAGTGCCGCAATAAACATACGTCTGCATGTGTCTTTATAGCAGCATGATTTATAATCCTTTGGGTATATACCCAGTAATGGGATGGCTGGGTCAAATGGTATTTCTAGTTCTAGATCCCTGAGGAATCGCCACACTGACTTCCACAATGTTTGAACTAGTTTACAGTCCCACCAACAGTGTCCAAGTGTTCCTATTTCTCCACATCCTCTCCAGCACCTGTTGTTTCCTGACTTTTTAATGATTGCCATTCTAACTGGTGTGAGATGGTATCTCTTTGTGGTTTTGATTTGCATTTCTCTGATGGCCAGTGATGATGAGCATTTCTTCATGTGTCTTTTGGCTGCATAAATGTCTTCTTTTGAGAAATGTCTGTTCATATCCTTTGCCCACATATTGATGGGGTTGTTTGTTTTTTTCTTGTAAATTTGTTGGAGTTCATTGTAGATTCTGGATATTAGCCCTTTGTCAGATGAGTAGATTGCAACAATTTTCTCCCATTTTGTAGGTTGCCTGTTCACTCTGATGGTAGTTTCTTTTGCTGTGCAGAAGCTCTTTAGTTTAACTAGATCCCATTTGTCAATTTTGGCTTTTGTTGCCATCGCTTTTGGTGTTTTTAGTCATGAAGTCCTTGCCCATGCCTATGTCCTGAATGGTATTGCCTAGGTTTTCTTCTAGGGTTTTTATGGTTTTAGGTCTAACATTTAAGTCTTTAATTCATCTTGAATTAATTTTTGTATAAGGTGTAAGGAAGGGATGCAGTTTCAGCTTTCTACATATGGCTAGCCAGTTTTCCCAGCACCATTTATTAAATAAGGAATCATTTCCCCATTTCTTGTTTTTGTCAGGTTTTTCAAAGATCAGATAGTTGTAGATATGTGGCATTATTTCTGAGGGCTCTGTTCTGTTCCACTGGTCTATATGTCTGTTTTGGTACCAGTACCATCCTGTTTTGGTTACTGTAGCCTTGTAGTATAGTTTGAAGTAGCGTAGTGTGATGCCTCTGGTTTTGTTCTTTTGGCTTGGGATTGACTTGGCGATGCAGGCTCTTTTTTGGTTCCATATGAACTTTAAAGTAGTTTTTTCCAATTCTGTGGAGAAAGTCATTGGTAGCTTGATGGGGATGGCATTGAATCTATAAATTACCCTGGGCAGTATGGCCATTTTCACGATATTGATTCTTCCTACCCATGAGCATGGAATGTTCTTCCATTTCTTTGTATCCTCTTTTATTTCACTGAGCAGTGGTTTGTAGTTCTCCTTGAAGAGGTCCTTCACATCCCTTGTAAGTTGGATTCCTAGGTATTTTATTCTCTTTGAAGCAATTGTGAACGGGAGTTCACTCATGATTTGGCTCTCTGTTTGTCTGTTATTGGTGTATAAGAATACTTGTGATTTTTGCACATTGATTTTGTATCCTGAGAGTTTGCTGAAGTTGCTTATCAGCTTAAGAAGATTTTGGGCTGAGACGATGGGGTTTTCTAAATATACAATCATGTCATCTGCAAACAGGGACAATTTGACTTCCTCTTTTCCTGACTGAATACACTTTATTTCCTTCTCCTGCCTGATTGCCCTGGCCAGAACTTCCAACACCATGTTGAATAGGAGTGGTGAGAGAGGGCATCCCTCTCTTGTGCCAGTTTTCAAAGGGAATGCTTCCAGTTTTTGCCCATTCACTATGATATTGGCTGTGGGTTTGTCATAGATAGCTCTTATTATTTTGAGATACATCCCATCAATACCTAATTTATTGAGAGTTTTTAGCATGAAGCATTGTTGAATTTTGTCAAAGGCCTTTTCTTCATCTATTGAGATAATCATATGGTTTTTGTCGTTGGTTCTGTTTATATGCTGGATTACGTTTATTGATTTGCATATGTTGAACCAGCCTTGCATCCCAGGGATGAAGCCCACTTGATCATGGTGGATAAGCTTTTTGATGTGCTGGTGGATTCGGTTTGCCAGTATTTTACTGAGGATTTTTGCATCGATGTTCTTCAGGGATATTGGTCTAAAATTCTCTTTTTTTGTAGTGTATCTGCCAGGCTTTGGTATCAGGATGATTCTGCCCTCATAAAATGAGTTAGGGAGGATTCCCTCTTTTTCTATTGATTGGAATAGTTTTAGAAGGAATGGTACCAGCTCCTCCTTGTACCTCTGGTAGCATTTGCCTGTGAATCCATCTGGTCCTCCACTTTTTTTGGTTGGTAAGCTATGAATTATTGCCTCAATTTCAGAGCCTGTTATTGGTCTATTCAGAGATTCAATTTCTTCCTGGTTTAGTCTTGGGAGGGCACATGTGTTGAGGAATTTATCCATTTCTTCCAGATTTTCTATTTTATTTGCATAGAGGTGTTCATACTATTCTCTGATGGCAGTTTGTATTTCTGTGGGATCAGTGGTGATATCCCCTTTATCATTTTGTATTGCATCGATTTGATTCTTCTCTATTTTCTTCTTTATTAGTCTTGCTAGCAGTCTATCAATTTTGTTGATCTTTTCAAAAAACCAGCTCCTGGATTCATTGACTTTTTGAAGGGTTTTTTGTGTCTCTATTTCCTTCACTTCTACTCTGATCTTAGTTATTTGGTGCCTTCTGCTAGTTTTTGAATGTGTTTGCTCTTGCTTCTCTAGTTCTTTTAATTGTGATGTTAGGGTGTCAATTTTAGATCTTTCCTGCTTTCTCTTGTGGACATTTAGTGCTATAAATTTCCCTCTACACACTGCTTTGAATGTGTCCCAGAGATTCTGGTACGTTGTGTCTTTGTTCTTGTTTGTTTCAAAGAACATGTTTATTTCTGCCTTCATTTTATTACATACCCGGTAGTCATTCAGGAGCAGGTTGTTCAGTTTCCATGTAGTTGAGCAGTTTTGAGTGAGTTTCTTAATCCTGAGTTCTAGTTTGATTGCACTGTGGTCTGAGAGACAGTTTGTTATAATTTCTGTTCTTTTACATTTGCTGAGGCATGCTTTATTTCCAACTATGTGGTCAATTTTGGAATAAGTGCAGTGTGCTGCTGAGAAGAATGTATATTCTGTTGATTTGGGGTGGAGAGTTCTGTAGATGTCTATTAGGTCTGCTTGATGCAGAGCTGAGTTCAATTCCTGGATATCCTTCTTGACTTTCTGTCTCGTTGATCTGTCTAATGTTGACAGTGGGGTGTTAAAGTCTCCCATTATTATTGTGTGGGAGTCTAAGTCTCTTTGTAGGTCTCTAAGGACTTGCTTTACGAATCTGGGTGCTCCTGTAATGGGTACATATATATTTAGGACAGTTAGCTCTTCTTGTTGAATTGATCCCTTTACCATTATGTAATGGCCTTCTTTGTCTCTTTTGATTTTTGTTGGTTTAAAGTCTGTTTTATCAGAGACTAGGATTGCAACCCCTGCCTTTTTTGTTTTCCATTTGCTTGGTAGATCTTCCTCCATCCCTTTATTTTGAGCATATGTGTGTCTCTGCATGTGAGATGGGTTTCCTGAATACAGCACACTGATGGGTCTTGACTATCTGATTTGCCAGTCTGTGTCTTTTAATTGGAGCATTTAGCCCATTTACATTTAAGGTTAATATTGTTATGTGTGAATTTGATTCTGTCATTATGATGTTCGCTGGTTATTTTGCTCATTAGTTGATGCAGTTTCTTCCTAGCCTCAATAGTCTTTACAATTTGGCATATTTTTGCTGTGGCTGGTACTGGTTGTTCCTTTCCATGTTTAGTGCTTCCTTCAGGAGCTCTTGTAGGGCAGGCCTGGTGGTGACAAAATCTCTCAGCATTTGCTTGTCTGTAAAGGATTTTATTTCTCCTTCACTTATGAAGCTCAGTTTGGCTGGATATGAAATTCTGGGTTGAAAATTCTGTTCTTTAAGAATGTTGAATATTGGCCCCTACTCTTTTCTGGCTTGTAGAGTTTCTGCTGAGAGATCAGCTGTTAGTCTGATGGGCTTCACTTTGTGGGTAACCTGACCTTTCTCTCTGGCTGCCCTTGACATTTTTTCCTTCATTTCAACTTTGGTGAATCTGACAATTATGTGTCTTGAAGTTGCTCTTCTCGAGAAGTATCTTTGTGGTGTTCTCTGTATTTCCTGAATCTGAATGTTGGCCTACCTTTCTAGGTTGGGGAAGTTCTCCTGGATAATATCCTGCAGAGTGTTTTCCAACTTGGTTCCATTCTCCCCGTCACTTTCAGGTACACCAATCAGATGTAGATTTGGTCTTTTCACATAGTCCCATATTTCTTGGAGGCTTTGTTCATTTCTTTTTATTCTTTTTTCTCTAAACTTCTCTTCTTGCTGCATTTCATTCATTTGATTTTGCATCACTGATACCCTTTCTTCCAGTTGATCGAATCGGCTACTGAGGCTTGTGCATTCGTCACATAGTTCTTGTGACATGGTTTTCAGCTCCTTCAGGTCCTTTAACAACTTCTCTGCATTGGTTATTCTAGTTAGCCATTCGTCTAATCTTTTTTCAAGGTTTTTAACTTCTTTGCCATGAGTTTGAACTTCCTCCTTTAGCTCGGAGAAGTTTGATTGTCTGAAGCCTTCTTCTCTCAACTCATCAAAGTCATTCCCCGTCCAGCTTTGTTCCATTGTTGGCGAGGAGCTGCGTTCCTTTGGAGGAGGAGAGGTGCTCTGATTTTTAGAATTTTCAGTTTTTCTGCTCTGTTTTCTCCCCATCTTTGTGGTTTTATCTACCTTTGGTCTTTGATGATGGTGATGTACAGATGGGGTTTTGGTGTGGATGTCCTTTCTGTTTGTTAGTTTTCCTTCTAACAGTCAGGACCCTCAGCTGCAGATCTGTTGGAGTTTCCTGGAGGTCCACTCCAGATCCTGTTTGCCTGGGTATCAGCAGCAGAGGCTGCAGAACAGCAGATACTGGTGAACAGCAAATGTTGCTGCCTGATCATTCCTCTGGAAGTTTTGTCTCAGAAGAGTACCCGGCTGTGTGAGGTGTCAGTCTGCCTCTACTGGGGTGTGCCTCCTAGTTAGGCTACTTGGGGGTCAGGGACTCACTTGAGGAGGCAGTCTATCCATTCTCAGATCTCAAGCTGCGTGCTGGGAGAATCACTACTCTCTTCAAAGCTGTCAGACAGGGACATTTAAGTCTGCAGAGGTTTCTGCTGCCTTTTGTTTGGCTATACCCTGCCCCTAGAGGTGGAGTCAACTGAGGCAGGCAGGCCTCCTTGAACTGTGGTGGGCTTCACCCAGTTCAAGCTTCCCAGCTGCTTTGTTTACCTACTCAAGCCTTGGCAATGGCAGGCGCCCCTCCCCCACCCTCGCTGCCACCTTACAGTTTGATCTGACTGCTGTGCTAGCAATGAGTGAAGCTCCGTGGGTGTAGGACCCTCTGAGCCAGGCATGGGATATAATCTCCTGGTGTGCCGTTTGCTAAGACCATTGGAAAAGTGCAGTATTAGGGTGCGAGTGACCCGATTTTCCAGGTGCCATCTGTCACCCCTTTCCTTGGCTAGGAAAGGGAATTCCCTGACCCCTTGTGCTTCCCGGGTGTGGCATTGCCTTGCCCTGCTTGGGCTTACACTTGGTGCGCTGCACCCACTCTCCTGAACCCACTGTCTGACAATCCCCAGTGAGATGAACCTGGTACCTCAATTGGAAATGCAGAAATCATTCGTCTTCTGCGTCGGTCACTCTGGGAGCTGTAGACTGGAGCTGTTCCTATTCGGCCATCTTGGCTCCCCATATGACTATATCAATTGATTGAATCTTTATTCTTCACATATAAAATAGAGCTAGTCACATTTTTTGGCCCACAGCTTTTTGTTCTCAATCTGTGAAAATCCATTCTGTGGTTTTTTTTTACTTATATCTCCTTCCCTCATCTACATTTTCATTCCATTCACCCTCTATGAGATGTTTGAAATACACCCTTAAATATTTATGAATCCCTTAAATATCTATGTGTCTGTAAGTATTTTAAGCTAACTAAAGAATGCTTTATTCTGTTTCTACTCTACTTACTCAACACTGTGAATTTGAGGTGTGTTTATTATTGCTGAATGTACCTCCAGTTTGTTGCTTTTAACAGAATTTATTTCATTGTATTCATCATTACATTAGGTTTAGGCAGGGTTTCTTCAACTTTTTGCACCACCCTACAACACTATGATAAACATCATGGAAGAACCATGCATGAAATTTGGAGTGCAAGCACTGGGTCACAGACCACATTTCTTAAACTTTTCTAAAACTTCCAATATGACTTTCCAAAATGGCTGAACCAGTTTAATCAGTCTAGAGTTATCATCTTTTCTACTTCTTAGGAAACATGCGATGACATCCCCTCTTTAATTTTTGTTATTCTAATGGGAATAAGTGATAACTCATCAACTTATTTTCTAGTTCCATGCATAGTTCCATAGGAGACTGCACAGTTGGAACCTGGGCTCCACCACACTCACAAACTATGGGACTTCAGGTAACTTTCATAATTCCTCTGCCCTTCAGATCTCATGAGTAAAGGGAAATATTAATAACACTAGCACTGAATTCATATGGGTGCTGTAAAAGTTCTATGAGCAAAGGTAAATAAAAGCACTTAGAACCAGGTCTAACATGTTATAGGAGGCACTATGATGTGTCAGTATTATTTTATCTATCAAAATATAAATTCCATGAGGGCAAGATTTCTGTTTATTTATTTTTTGCTTTAATCTCAGTGCCTAGAGCAGTGTCTTTTTTTTTGTTTTTGTTTTGTTTTGTTTTGTTTTGTGTTATCACTCTTTATTATACTTTAAGTTTTAGGGTACATGTGCACAATGGGCAGGTTAGTTACATATGTATTCATGTGCCATGCTGGTGTGCTGCACCCATTAACTCGTCATTTAGCATTAGGTATATCTCCTAAAGCTATCCCTCCCCCCTCCCCCCACCCCACAACAGTCCCCAGAGTGTGATGTTCCCTTTTCTGCGTCCATGTGTTCTCATTGTTCAATTCCCACCTATGAGTGAGAACACGCAGTGTTTGGTTTTTTTGTCCTTGCAATAGTTTACTGAGAATGATGATTTCCAATTTCATCCATGTCCCTACAAAGGACATGAGCTCATCTTCTTTTATGGCTGCATAGTATTCCATGGTGTATATGTGCCACGTTTTCTTAATCCAGTCTATCATTGTTGGACATTTGGCTTGGTTCCAAGTCTTTGCTATTGTGAATAGTGCCTCAATAAACATACGTGTGCATGTGTCTGCAGCATGATTTATAGTCCTTTGGATATATACCCAGTAATGGGATGGCTGGTTCAAATGGTATTTCTAGTTCTAGATACCTGAGGAATTGCCAAACTGACATCCACAATGATTGAACTAGTTTACAGTCCCACCAACAGTGCCAAAGTGTTCCTATTTCTCCACATCCTCTCCAGCACCTGTTGTTTCCTGACTTTTTAATGATTGCCATTCTAACTGGTGTGAGATGGTATCTCATTGTGGTTTTGATTTGCATTTCTCTGATGGCCAGTGATGGTGAGCATTTTTTCATGTGTTTTTTGGCTGCATAAATGTCTTCTTTTGAGAAGTGTCTGCTCATGTCCTTCGCCCACTTTTTGATGGGGTTGTTTGTTTTTTTCTTGTAAATTTGTTGGAGTTCATTGTAGATTCTGGATATTAGCCCTTTGTCAGATGAGTAGGTTGCGAAAATTTTCTCCCATTTTGTAGGTTGCCTGTTCACTCTGATGGTAGTTTCTTTTGCTGTGCAGAAGCTCTTTAGTTTAATTAGATCCCATTTGTCAATTTTGGCTTTTGTTGCCATTGCTTTTGGTGTTTTAGACATGAAGTCCTTGCCCATGCCTATGTCCTGAATGGTAATGCCTAGGTTTTCTTCTAGGGTTTTTATGGTTTTAGGTCTAACATTTAAGTCTTTAATCCATTTTGAATTAATTTTTGTATAAGGTGTAAGGAAGGGATCCAGTTTCAGCTTTCTACATATGGCTAGCCAGTTTTCCCAGCACCATTTATTAAATAGGGAATCCTTTCTCCATTGCTTGTTTTTCTCAGATTTGTCATAGATCAGATAGTTGTAGATATGCGACATTATTTCTGAGGGCTCTGTTCTGTTCCATTGATCTATATCTCTGTTTTGGTAGCAGTACCATCCTGTTTTGGTTACTGTAGCCTTGTAGTATAGTTTGAAGTCAGGTAGTGTGATGCCTCCAGCTTTGTTCTTTTGGCTTAGGATTGACTTGGCAATGCGGGCTCTTTTTTGATTCCATATGAACTTTAAAGTAGTTTTTTCCAATTCTGTGAAGAAAGTCATTGGTAGCTTGATGCAGATGGCATTGAATCTATAAATTACCTTGGGCAATATGGCCATTTTCATGATATTGATTCTTCCTACCCATGAGCATGGAATGTTATTCCATTTGTTTGTATCCTCTTTTATTTCATTGAGCAGTGGTTTGTAGTTCTCCTTGAAGAGGTCCTTCACGTCACTTGTAAGTTGATTCCTAGGTCTTTTATTCTCTTTGAAGCAGTTGTGAATGGGAGTTCACTCATGATTTGGCTCTCTGTTTGTCTGTTATTGGTGTATAAGAATGCTTGTGATTTTTGTACATTGATTTTGTATCCTGAGACTTTGCTGAAGTTGCTTATCAGCTTAAGGAGATTTTGGGCTGAGACAATGGGGTTTTCTAGATATAAAATCATGTTATCTGCAAACAGGGACAGTTTGACTTCCTCTTTTCCTAATTGAATACTCTTTATTTGCTCCTCCTTCCTAATTGCCCTGGCCAGAACTTCCAAAACTATGTTGAATAGGAGTGGTGAGAGAGGGCATCCCTGTCTTGTGCCAGTTTTCAAAGGGAATGCTTCCAGTTTTTGCCCACTCAGTATGATATTGGCTGTGGGTTTGTCATAGATAGCTCTTATTATTTTGAGATACGTCCCATCAATACCTAATTTATTGAGAGTTTTTAGCATGAATGGTTGTTGAATTTTGTCAAAGGCCTTTTCTGCATCTATTGAGATAATCATGTGGGTTTTGTCTTTGGTTCTGTTTATATGCTGGATTACAATTATTGATTTGCATATATTGAACCAGCCTTGCATCCCAGGGATGAAGCCCACTTGATCATGGTGGATAAGCTTTTTGATGTGCTGCTGGATTCGGTTTGCCAGTATTTTATTGAGGATTTTTGCATTAATGTTCATCAAAGATATTGGTCTAAAATTCTCTTTTTTTGTAGTGTCTCTGCCAGGCTTTGGTATCAGGATGATGCTGGCCTCATAAAATGAGTTAGGGAGGATTCCCTCTCTTTCTATTGATTGGAATAGTTTCAGAAGATATGGTACCAGTTCCTCCTTGTACCTCTGGTAGAATTCAGCTGTGAATCCTTCTGGTCCTGGACTCTTTTTGGTTGGTAAGCTATTGATTATTGCCACAATTTCAGAGCCTGTTATTGGTCTATTCAGAGATTCAACTTCTTCCTGGTTTAGTCTTGGGAGGGTGTATGTGTCGAGGAATTTATCCATTTCTTCTAGATTTTCTAGTTTATTTGCATAGAGGTGTTTGTAGTATTCTCTGATGGTAGTTTGTATTTCTGTGGGATCGGTGGTGATATCCCCTTTATCATTTTTTATTGCGTCTATTTGATTCTTCTCTCTTTTCTTCTTTATTAGTCTTGGTAGCAGTCTATCAATTTTGTTGATCCTTTCAAAAAACCAGCTCCTGGATTCGTTAATTTTTTGAAGGGTTTTTTGTGTCTGTATTTCCTTCAGTTCTGCTCTGATTTTAGTTATTTCTTGCCCTCTGCTAGCTTTTGAATGTGTATGGTCTTGCTTTTCTAGTTCTTTTAATTATGATGTTAGTGTGTCAATTTTGGATCTTTAGAGCAGGGTCTTTACATGATGAAGTATGTTGATTATATAGAATTTTTATTGCCTTCCTGAAAAACACTTACTCAAAATGTGTCATTTTTAATACATTAAGGGATTCCATTTTTTCTAGTGGCATCCTATATTAGTGTTATAAACACGGGAAATCATCCACCAAAGGCAATGTGGCAAAAAAATAAAAATATAATTTAAATCCTCTTTCTCACTCTCTCAAGCTAATCTGCCCTCCACTGCCTGGGAGCGCTTTGTCTCAACTGTCCCCCAAGGATTTTCTGTAGTCTTTCTAGTTTTTCAGAGTTTCTTTTTAATTCCATAGCATTTCTAGAGCTGGGTTATGGAAGGGAGTCATCAGCCTAGACTAATTTGCTCCTTCTTTTATTAGTGTATCAGATTTGCAGATAACCTAATGCAAAGAAGAATCAGAAATTTATTCAGTGCAACAGTTAAGATTAAAATAATATATATTTGCTGGATTGAAACAGTGAAATTCAATTTAATATTAATTGAAATGTAAAGTATTACATTTATAGTTAAAATTCTATTGTCAATATATGCAATATGCAAGAATTAATAGCATGCTATATTAAATTACTAAGAGTAATTAGTTGACCAATAGATTGAATATGAGATAGCAATGCATCGTGGATTCTAAAAAGAAAGTCCTTTGGAGTATCTGCCTCTGGTAAACTACATGTTCTGATAGAACTTCCTATATCAGAAAACTAGGTCCAAAATAACACAGATTTTTGATCTAAGCACAACTTGCAAATGTAAGCAAGTTTTCCATTGATACTGAAAATTCAAATTCTTCTTCGTTCTTCTCCTGTTCTGCCTCCTCCTCATCTTTATTACCTGTGAGCTTGTGTCTGAGCTAAAACAGAAAGTAATGAGGTACATGAAGGAATGAAGTTGTCCTGGAGACAGATACCAAAAGAAGTATTGCAATAGAGCACTGATTCTCAGGCCAACAGCCAGGTTTCTAAGCTGAGCCTGGAGCTCTCACGTGGATCTGGGGCTTTCGTTGGAGTTAAACAGTTCCAGATCATTGGCAACTTTTGCCTCTCCTAGAAGGTGTAAAACTTCCCTAAAAGAAACCATTATCAATACATTTATAAGATTTCTACAATTAAAATCAAGCAATGAGTTTACAGAGGTAAACAAGCATATAATGAGTGAAACCACAAGCAAGTTGTGTCAGCTGTAACAATTAACATAGTTAGTCACTCCACCACCCATCACAAACTGCAAGAACTCTCAGATATAGGCTATATAATGGTTAAAAACAAAATTTTTTTTTCCAGTTTAGGGAATATCATTCTGAAACAAAACTGAAAGTGGATGTCATTCATGAGAAAAACAATTTGGCAGATATATTAGTTGCATTTCGTCTTGCAACGTATTCTAAAGATTCAGCTCATCTTGGTGCAATTACTACTACCAGATCTAGTGAAATTCAATATAACCCAGCAATCTTAATACTGAGTATATACCCAAAGGAATATAAATCATTCTATTATAAGGACACATGCACAGGTATTTTCATTGCAACAGTATTCACAATAGCAAAGACATGGAATCAACCTAAATGCCCATCAATGATAGACTGGATAAAGAAAATATGGTACATATACACATGGAATACTATGCAACCATAAAAAATGTTTTTTAAAGGCATTAAATAAGTGATTTTTAGGGATGAGCAGGCACATTTGAAAAAGAAACAATAGAACTTTCAGATATGAAAAACATGAAGACTAAAACAACAACAGCAACAAAAACATACATAAAAACCTCAGTGCAGAAATGTAAAGGGTTTCTACATAGCTGAATGCAGAATTATTCCGAAGATATAGCTGAAGGAATTACCTAGGATTCAGCACAGATAAGATAGCTTCCAGAAAATATGAAAGAGAAATTAAAGAAAACTACAACTAGAAGATCTAATTTGAGTTCCAGAGAGCAAGAATAGAGAATGTAGAAGAGGGGAAATACACTTAGGAATAATGACTAGGAATTTTCAGAGGTGATGAAACACATGAATATACAGATCTAAAAAACATGGCAAAAGAGTTTTGTTCATGAGATTGTGGTATACATAAAATAAGTGCTGGGAACTATGAAATGTGAAATAGACAAAGAAATTAGCAATGACACTACTCAAGAGGAAATATAAATTTTGTTCAATGATAGAGAAAGTTTAATAGTAATTAGCACTGTCCCTAAATTTAAATAAATATCTGAAATTTATCTAGGAGACTGCTCATGATATTTTTTGGTGAAAAAAAGTGTGATCCGTGGGCCATTTGAACCTTAGCACTGTAAAACTGTGTAACTGAAAAAAGCTGTAGCAACAATGGCCTGTAAATAACTGTCCTAGATGATTGACATTTTAGGGGTTTGGGATTATTTTGTGACACTTTTGTGAAAATTATGTATGATGAGAAAATCATATGTCCAAAATTAGAATACTGCGATAAATGCTGTTTAGTGAATTAATGGAAAGCCAAATGAATAATTTGATGGAAGTTTTTATTTTTCCCTCCATTATATTAAAATTGCATGGGAGCTTTTACTATTGGGCAATGTTTTCCTTAAAAAGTTATGTTATATTTTCAGTTTCAGCTCTGACATACAAAAAGCTGTCACTCTTGTCCCCACAAGTAAAAAGATAAGCAAATTAACATGAATTTTCTTAGAGCCATCTTAAAATTGAAGTCCCAGGGCAAATTGTCACTCTGAAATATGGAGAGACAGGTCAATAGAGAGAATCACAGCCAAGGTCAGCTTACCTGAAGCAGAAGCCACTGGACCCAGTGACTGGTAGGAACACTTAAATAGTAGTTTTGATGATTTGCTAGAGGCTGCTTGTAAACTCAAACCAGTTTACATGCAGCCTCTAGTAAACTAGTTTGAATACACAGCCTGGTTGCATATAGTTTGAGAATTAGAAATTTCTGGGAGCCCAGTCTCCCCACTTCTTTTCCTTTTGAGTTAAAGAATTTAGATCTCCAGGGGACTGATCCCCTGACTGAGAATTGAACCTCGGCCACAGTGTTGGAAGTACCAAACCCTAACCACTAGATTACAGGGTGGAGTGGCCTTTGGGGGCCAAGTCTTATGCAGGTCTAGCGAAAGGAAAAGTAACTAAAGTGCCCAGAGCATTCTCCATAATAAAGGCCTGCTCTCTAAATGAAACTACTTTACCAGAGCTTTATATGACTTGGAAGGAAAAACGATTAGCCAACTCTAGCATTCCTGTCTCCTGTAAGGAGAGAGAATAAAGGCTAAGAAATGCTGAACATCACAGCTTAGAGAGACTGACTAAACACTGAGATTTAATCATAAAATTACAGAATGCTTCCTGTCCCTAACATTTTACCATCACATCAACAGTGCTCTGTTATAAGAACAGTGGATTACAACTGAGAGAGCTGGAAGACACACAAACTATTGAAGGAGTTCTTAGTGAAATCCAAAGACAATAGGAGAAGAAACAGAGAGGGAACTAGAAGAAACTGATGCATCTGGCAACTACACCTTGTATGGCATTGTTCTTAGCAAGATTAACATAGGTCCTCATACTAAAAGCCTAATTATTTCAGTTCCTGTTACCCAATACATCCTGTGTGGCTTTCAACAAAACATTTAAAAACATGGTAAGAGGGAAAAAAAAATCTGGAGAAGCAAAGCAAGAATCAGAACCCAATGTGAATATAACATTAATTCTGTAATTAGCAGAAAATGAATTTAAATAATGATTAAAATGTTAAGGGCTCTAATAGAAAAAGTAGACAACATGCAAGAATAGATGAACATTGTAGAGAAATGAAAACTCTGAAAGAGAATTAAAAGGAAATGCAAGAAATCAAAACTACTGTAATAGAAATGGCAGATGCCTTTGATGGACTCCTAGCTAGAGTGTGCACCACCAATTAAAAAAAATCAGTGAGCTTCAAGATATGTTCATAAATACTTCCCAAACTGAAATGCGAAGACAAAAGAAAAATAAAGACAAAAAATTAAAACACAATATCCTGAACTGTGGGACAATTACAAAAGGTATAAATGCATGTAACAGGAATACCAGAGGGAAAAGAAAAAGTTATTCATCGCTGGTGGGAGTGCAAAATGGTATAGTGATACTGGAAGACAGTTTGGCGATTTCTTACAAAGCTAAACAGTCTTACCATATGATGCAGCAGTCCCATTCTTAGGTATTTACCTAATGAGTTTGAAAATTTATATCTGCATATAAACATGCACATGAATGCATATAGCAGCTTTATTCACAATTGCCAAAAACTAGAAAGAAGCAACCAAGATACCTTTCAGTAGGTTGAATGGATTAACAAATACCCTATATATTACATGAAACGGAGTATTATTTGACAATAAGGAGAGATGATCTATTAAGCCACAAAAAGACATTGAAGAACCTTAAAAGCATATTGCTAAGTAAAAGAAAAAAAATCAGTCTGAAAAGGCTGTATATAATATGATTCTGACTGTGACATTCTGGAAAAGACAATACTGTAGATAAGGTTAAAAAGGTCAGTGGTTGCCCGGGTTTTGAAAGAGAGAGAGTGGGGTGAATAGATTAAGCACAGAGGTTTTCTAGGGCAGTGAAATATTCTGTATGAGATTGTAATGGTGGATACACAACATGCATTTGTGAAAAACATAGAAGTGTACAACAAAAGGTGAACCTTAGTATAAATTATGAACTATACTTCATAATAATGTATCAATATATCAATATGTTCATTAACTGTGACTATGTACCACACTAATACAGGATGTTAGTAAGAGGGGAAATTGTGTGTATGTGGTAGGGAGTATATGGAGACTATATTATCTGCGCACAGTTTCTGCAAATTCAAAATAATTCTTAAAATGAGTCTATTAAGCCTTTTTGCATAATTTCAACTTTATTTTAGATTTGGGGGTACAAGTGCACATTTGTTATGTGAGTCTATTAATTTAAAATGTTATATCATGTCATATAAAAATAATAATGTTCAACTAATTTTGACTGTGAAACCAGCATTTTTATATAGTTTCCATTTTATATTACTGGCTCAATATTAAGGTTCCTCAAAAAGTTTATGGAAAATACATATTATGGAAAAATGATGCACGGATGTTAATTTTTTTACACCAAAATAAGTTCATATTAACTTGTTATATCATGTCTGAACCTGATCGACTTTGAAGCACTAAGATAGATAATACATCAGTTTGAAGAGTCCCCTATCAGAGCAACATAAATTTTGATAAAACTGAAGAACAAACATTAAATTTATGATGAAGCTTGGGTGAAAGAATGGTGAAATAATTGATGCTTTATGAAAAGTTTATGGGATCAAAGCTCTAAAGAATTAGCAGTTTACAAATGGAGAACTTTTGAAGAAGGGACAAGACAATGTTGATGATTAAGCCGCTAATGGTAGACCATCTAACATCAACTTGTGAGAAAAAAATTCATCTTGTTTATGTCCTGATTGAAGAGGACTAATGATTAACAGGGGAAACAATAGCCAACACTGTAGACACCTTAATTGGTTCAGTTTATACAATCCTGACTGAAAAATTAAAGTTGAGCACATTTTCTACTCAATAGTTGCCAAATCATCACGTCCAGATCAGCTGCAGATGAGAGCAGAGCTTTCAAGGGAAATGGTAAACAAGTGAGATCCAGGTCCTGAAGAATTTCTTGGAAGAACTATAATAGAAGATGAAACATGGCTTTACCAGTATGATCCTGAAGTCAAAGCACAATCAGAGCAGTGGCTATCAAGAGGTAAAAGTGGTTCAGTTAAAGCAAAAGTGAACCAGTCAAGAGCAAATATCATGCAACAGTTTTTTGGAATATGCAAGGAATATTGTTTGATGACTTTCTGGAGGGCCAAAGAGTAATAAAAGTTGCTTATTATGAGAGTGTCTTGATAGCCAAAGCTTTAATAAAGAGATGCCTGGGAAAGCTTCACCAGAGAGGAGTTCTCCACCATCATAGCACTCCTGCTCATTCCTTTCATCTAACAAGGGCAATTTTGTGAGTTTCTGTAGAAAATCATTAGGCAT
Organism: Homo sapiens; assembly: GCF_000001405.40. Lineage (NCBI taxonomy): Eukaryota > Metazoa > Chordata > Mammalia > Primates > Hominidae > Homo > Homo sapiens. Next base: position 129,887,115 of record NC_000004.12, read on the forward strand.
TCCCTGTACAGTCCTGATCTGGCTCATTCTGACTTGTTTATATTTCCTAATCAAAAAATCTTTGAAAGGCACTCATTTTTCTTCAGTTAATAATGTAAAAAAACTGCATTGACATGGTTACATTCCTAAGACCCTCAGTTTTTTAAGGTTGAACTAAATGACTGATATCATTGCTTACAAAAGTGTCTTAAACTTGATAGAGCTTATGCTGAGAAATTCAGTTTATGTTTGTATTTTTATCTTTAAATTTTATTTTCCACAAACTTTTTGAAGTCTCCTCATATTCTTGTGTGATACTGCAATGGTATAGTTTAATATTTGAATTTAGATCTAAAACACAACTCTGAAGTATTGTTGAATTTGATTACTATATTGCTCAAATGAACACTTCAAATTAGAAAAAAATTCTGTTATCTAAATAACCATGTACATATATATATATATTTACATGCACAGAGAGAGTAAATCACATTGTTTCCAAATATTAATAATGCCTTAAAGAATTAGTATTGACTATATGAGTTTCCAAAATTAATAAAATATGAGCATCCTTTGTTAATGCTCTTTGGTAATATAAAAACCCATTTCATTTTTACTATGATGATGGTTCTAATTTTACCAAAGATTTGCTTGACTTCTCTATGATGATAAGTTAACCACCCATTAGAGTGTTAAATAACTAAGGTTCTTCTCTTTTCTTTTTTTTTTTTATTATTATACTTTAAGTTTTAGGGTACATGTGCACAATGTGCAGGTTAGTTACATATGTATACATGTGCCATGCTGGTGTGCCGCACCCATTAACTCATCATACCAATATTAGGTATATCTGGTTCTTCTCTTTTCTGAGTTCTTTACCCCACTAATCTAGTTAGTGTTTTATTCTTGACTTTAATTTTACTGATACTATCTTGACTTCGAGATTCATATTAGCCATTCATTTCTCAGAGGATCAAATGAAAAGGTAAACACATACTTATAAAGTACATGACCATAGCTCAAGTGAATTTTATGCACCACAAGGAGGAACTCACCCATTTGCTGGTTTCGAAGATAATTTCATTACTTCATGTGCAAATAAAGTAACATTTCTAAAATTATTAAATAAATTGTTGATTATTTTCTGTATGCTTTTATGATTTCAAAGCAAATAAAGTTTTCACCTAAATATCTTTTCAGTGTTTTAAAAGTAATACAACAAGACATCTTTTACATAATTATAGACAATGAACATAAGTGTACTCACATCCTTATGATCAATTTTATTGAGTGAACTAATAACAACAGACTCATGAGTATTTTGAAGTTAAAGGAGTAAATTTTTGTCTGGCTGAAAGTATTAGTCTATATGTAGCAATATTTTAATTTATTCATTTGTTTCATCAGTCATTAAGACTAATTTACTGAATCTACTATATATTAGGCACAAAATGTGGTATAGATACAGAATATTTTGTCATCATACAATTCTCATTTGTAAAGTTATTGTTTATTTTGTTTATTGTACCATTTGAAGTATAAATTAATCCTTGAGATCTTTAAGTACATCCAGTATTTGGGGAAAATTTTAATATTCTAAAAAGTTATGCACATTATTCTATACTAAATATCACAAATATGTCATAAAAATGAGTTATTTAAAAAGTTCCATTATAAATAAATAAACAAAATTGGCACATAACTTCACTCTTCAGAGAAGGATGAAAAGGAATCATGTGGATAGTAGATACTAAATATGTTGACAGAGAAAGAGAGGGACTGAGAGGCTGATTGAGAACAGCTATGAAGAGGGGCAGTTGGCTTCTTGATTTTCTCCATCTTGGAGTTATTTTAACATTCTATTATATCTAAGTGTCTTGTTGCACCTTGGCCTACTGCCTAAAATGAGCATATAGGTGTACACATTTAACCAGTACATAATTTAGATCTGTTGGAAATTCTTCCTATGCAAGTTCCTGTTCTTTATTTTCTTTAACATCTTTGTACCTAAGTTAACTTATATCCTTTTATTGTTGTTTTGTCATCTTAATCTATAATTTATTTTTCCCATTATAGAAGCTATCTCCACTAAATAGTACCAATTTGAAACATAGAGAAAAATAGAAAAAAAAGTGAGATCTGCTGTATATAGTTTTATTCCTAGACATAATCACAGGTAGTAGCTTGACATCCCATCTATTTTTAAAATTTAATTGAAATGCATTTTATGAGATTTTCCTCCTAGAAGCCTTCCTAGGTTCTTTGATTTAAAATTGTTTTCACACAGTAGTTTCCAAGGCAGCTTGCAACTTCCCCCTTCTAGGACTTAAAACATTTCCATTAAATAGCTGTTTAATTGCCTGCATGCAGCCTCCCACTCCCACACAAACCTAACTAGGTTGTAGGCTCTAAAAAAGCAAGAACTCTCTGTCTTAACCATTACTGTATTTCTAGCAACTAACAAAGTACTGTGCATATAGTAGGATCAATAAATATTTGTTCATACAGAACTAATTGTTGTAAAAGTGTATATTTTCCTTTTGCAATTAACACAGTAGCATAAGTATTTCTCCATATTACAGTATTTACTCTTTAAGTATTTTTTATGTGGCTCGCCATCTGTTCATTGCATAAAAATCAATTTCAAGATTGTTGGACTCTTTGACTTATGTTTATCACCACTATAAACCAGGGTTCTTAGCAAGGCAATTTCCCACATCATTTCCTACTTCCTCTTCACTTCTATAAACTGTAACTAAATCTTCGTAAAACAGACAGAAGCAAAGTCTTAACTCAAAGACTAATGAGCATGGCAAATCTAATGAAAAAAATCCTAAAACTTTTTTTATGCCTGTTGGTTTATCTTGTAATTTAATGGCAACACAGTAAGCATTAAGGGACCCTCTTCCTTCTTTTTTAAAAATGTGACTTCTCTTATTCCAATTACATTTAAAAACCCTTTTCTCAATTCAACACTACATTTTACATAAAAGCAATAAACAGGGCATGAAGAAAGTTTCTACATTTAATTTTGTTATATCTGTTTTTTAATATCTGAGGATGATCACGTGTTCATTCGCTAATATGATTAATATGATTACTAGAGTGTTTTGTATGGTACTGAGGCCATAGTTTAGTGGGATGAACTGCCATGTAAACCAAAACTTATTACACACTTCCAAATAAGGGCCATTAACAAAATATGTAAATATGTAAAGCTAAAAGATCTTTATTTTCTGTGTTTGGGATTTCATTTTAGGGAATGCTATCTAAGAAGCTTCTTCAACAGGTAGCTAACCGGCTAATACTTAGAGAATCTGCTTGATGTGTAAGGGCAGGTTTATCATATTTCAAAAATGTGTACACTTAAAGTATATGGTAAGAACAATATTGTTACCTTTCTGAAAGCAATAAACAGTATTTCATCAAATTTATTTTGTATAGATTAGATGAGGGAGAATTTCAATTAACAGTTAGAACTCTATATTCTTAATATATCAAAATATCTCAAAACCAAGTTATCAGTTTAGATAACAAACTATCAAGTGTGCAAATATATGTAAGTATTGCCTCTTGACTCAGTTTTAAAGAGCTGTTTGGAAGCTTAACGAATTGCTAAGCAATAATAAATTACATATCAAAAAGGGAATCTGTATACCTTTGGGAAGACTAAAGTTTGTATTGTCATCACTGTCTGGCAAAGCATGAGTAAGTTTAAAACATATTTTTCTATAGTAGAATGATATATCTTTCAGCTGAGAGTTTGGGGTCTTTTATGTAAATCTTTTTACCTGAGTATATCTGAAATTTCCTTTTAGAATCATCTTCAAAGTAAGGACAGATCAAAGTGTCAAGGTGCTAGATCAAAAGCAATGCCTTTTAAAAACTCTTATTTTTTGCTGTAATTCAAAGAAAGTTAGTAAATATTATCATCTCAACATCATTATAGGGAAGTAAAAATTTAATATGGGCCCTTATATGCTTACCTTGAAAAGCAAGAGGACCTTGTAAAATAAAAAATAGAAAAGTGAGAGACAACATTATTTCACACACTGAACAAAATAGCAGCAAACGTTAGTGCCATCAAAAGCAAATAAAGGTTTCACAAGTGTTACCATTTTGTGCATACCTCCAGCTTAGCAATTGTTACATTGAACTGTGGTGGTATGCTTATATTTTGTTTTTCTTACTGTACTGTAAACCTCTAAAGGAAGGACACTGTCTTATTTATCCTTGTTTCATTAGCCCCTAGAACAAATTATAGCCTCACAATAGTGCCTTAAGAAATGCTTAAACAACTGAAATAATAATAATAATAAACCCTTTGATAATGGGGTGTTTTAAAATAGCTGTGCCATGGACAAGATAGAATAGTCTTGTGAGTAATTTTGTCATATGTAAAGCCTAAAAGAAGTTGTAAATGGACTAATCAGATAACATTTACTCTGGGATATGTTTTTCTTTCACTTAAACCGTTACATATGTTTACCTTAGAATATAAAAACAACTTAAAGCAATGCTCTCATATTAAGACATGAAGCTTACTTTAGCATTTAGTTTTCTTTAAAAATGCAGTCATATTTCACTAATATGACAGAATTTATAAATTGAAGTTAGCCATTGGTAATATTTTAATGGATTCTACAAAGCTCTAAATAAAACAGATGCCGCTATAGGAGCATGTTTTGTATTTTTACATCATTTGTAGGGAACCTGAGCAAAATAGCTAGGTTACCGATGTTACCAGTGGACCACAACATCTAATCAAGAAAGCAGCTTCCTTGTGCTCCAAAAGATCAAAGCCTCAACTAAGGAAAAAAAATACCTCAGAAAATAACCGTTATAAGACTGATACAAAAACTCAGTTGTCAAAGTACACACTTATTGCATATGCTCACTATATAAAATGTTGACCAAGATTGTAGTATTCAAGATAAACTGTAAATTCAGAAATTCAAGACAGATGAAAAAAATCCTGCCATTTGCAATAACATGGATGAAACTGATGGACATTGGGCTAAGTGCAATAAGCTAGACACACAAAAGAGTACTGCATCATCCCACTTAAATGTGGCATCTAAAAAAGTCAAAGACATAGATGCGAGTGTAGAACTGTAGTTACCAGAGGCAAGGAGGTGGGAAAAAAATTGAGAGATGGGCAAAGGGCACAAATGCAGTTACGTAGGATGAAGTGTAGAGATTCAATGTACAACATGATGACTACAGTCAGTAATAAATTCTGTATTGCACATTAGAAATTTGCTAAGAAAGTAGATTTTGGCCGGGCACGGTGGCTCACGCCTGTAATCCCAGCACTTCGGGAGGCCGAGGCGGGCAGATTACGAGCTCAGGAGATCGAGACCATCCTGGCTAACACGGTGAAACCCAGTCTGTACTAAAAATACAAAAAAAAAAAAAAAATTAGCCAGGCGTGGTGGCGGGCGCTTGTAGTCTCAGCTACTTGGGAGGCTGAGGCAGGAGAATGGTGTGAACCCGGGTGGTGGAGCTTGCAGTGAGCCAAGATCGTGCCACAGCACTCCAGCCTGGGAGACAGAGTGAGACTCCGTCTCAAAAAAAAAAAAAAAAAAAAAAGGAGATTTCATGTGCTCTTGCCACAAAAAAAGAAAGAAAATGGTAACTATGTGAGGAGATGGATATGTTAATTTTCATGACTGTAGTAATCATTTCACTATGTATATGAATGTATATTAAAACGTCATGTTAAACTTCTAAAATACATACAATTATTTAAAAATAATTTTTAAAAAGAGAGAGATAAGGTAGAATGACACAAAAAGTTGATAGATCCAGAGAAATAATGGCTCAGAAAATGTTGATAAAATCCTTTCCCATATTCTCCAAATGAAAAGATCTTTAAAAGAGTCAGATTTTTGTGAAGCTATTATGGAAAATGAAAAATGGTTTGTAAAGTTTGAAGTTTGAGGCTATTGGGAACTCTGAGGAGCAGGAGAGAATGTGGGCATATGAGACTGAGCAAAAGATGGGAAACAAGAACTTATTAAGTACCTGCTGTGAGGCATTTGTTGGAAAATTAGCTCTATAGGTTATGGCACAATGTTAATGAGCCCAAGGTTGAGTGTTCCCTATTGACTTTGGGATGGGTTAGGTGTGCTATTCAGTGGCCTCTGAATCCAAGAAAGCCTTGGCAAGCTGTTTACATGTGTTGCTGGGGCTCAGGGTACAGAAATGATTTTGGGAACTCCATAACTCATCATTTCTGCTGTATGCACGCTCTCATGCCGTGCACATTCCAGTGGCTATTGAAGCATCATTTGGCTCTCTCTCTCTCTCTCTCTCTATATATATATATATACACATGTAAACAAAAAAGAGATTTCTTCTTTTTACAGTTATTTTCTTGATATTCTCTTTTGATGCTATTATTGGAGAATGTGGTGACAGTTCAGTGAAGTATTGGATATTATGTATAAGAAGTCATAAACAGTTTCATATACTTTAATGTAATAATTTATCTTCTGAAAATTTAGCTTAGAAATAATTTGATAACTAAAAGCTCATATCTATAAAAATAAATTGTACAGTTATTTATGTTAGGTAAAAATCAAATACAAGCTAAATAAAATGCCCAATCATAGAAGAATACCTCCACAATTTTAGAACATTACTGTATATAATGTTATTCATGAATAAAATAAATATAATTATGGCAACTGAAAAGGAATATAGGAAAAACTCATGAGAGAACGCTGGAAGAAAAAAGCAGCGTAAAATGTGAAATACATTATGAATACAACTTTTGAATATTTTAATATGAATACTACAATTGAAATGCACACACACACACACACACAGAAACAGAATAATGTAAGAACCTGGTTAAGAAAGAGAAGTTGGATTAAGTGGGGGCAGGCAGTATAGATGAGTGCTCATTTCTGCAGATTCTCCAGTCACATTGACATGGTCTGGATTTTCACTCCTCCATTTACTACCTATGTAATCATGAGCAAGTTATTGCAACATTCTGTACCTCAGTATGCTCATCTTTGAATATGGAATAATAATGCTCCTAGCCTCATAAAGATGTTTCATGGCTGGGCACGGTGCCTCACGACTGTAATCTCAGCACTTTGGGAGGCCGAGGAAGGTGGATCACGAGGTCAAGAGATCGAGACGATCCTGGCCAACATGGTGAAACCCCGTCTCCACTAAAAATACAAAAATTAACTGGGTGTGGTGGCACGCACCTGTAGTACCAGCTACTCAGGAGGCTGAAGCAGGAGAATCGCTTGAACCTGGGAGGCGGAGGTTGCAGTGAGCAGAGATTATGCCACTGCACTCTGGCCTGGCGTCAGAGTGACAGACTCCATCTCAAAAAAAATAAGTAAATAAAAGATGTTTCACAATTGAATGAGATGATATATGCAAAGGCTCTGACCGTATGCTGGTACTCAATAAATATGTATTGTTATTAGAACAGTGATAATAGTAATTATTTTTATCATTAGTCATTTTGTATTTTTCCAGTTTTCATTTTTTAATATTAATAATGATAGCAGGAAACATTTAAATGTTTACCTTTTGACAGGCAGGGGTCAAAAATATTTACTTCAAAACCAAGTATACCTGAGTTTGAGAGCAGCTCTGTAATTTTCTAGTTTTGTAGTATCAGAAATCTTAGCCATCTTCCCTGTTAGTTCCACTTTCTATAAGCAACCCACTCATGGGGTGTTGCACAGATTAATATATGATGAGGCTTATAAAGCACTTAGAAATTATTCAATAAAAGGCAATTATTTCACTTACAGTTTACAATTCCAAAAGATAGTTACATATAGGATCAACTTTATGTATTGCAGTTAAGGAAACTAAGATTTGGAAGTCAAGAGCCTATCCCAGCCACGCTGCCAATGAGAGCCTGAATCAGGATTTAACTCCTAATTGATCCAGTTTACTATTGCTATTACTATTTGTAAATAACCATTTGCTATAGCCACATCAATTTCAGAAAAATAAAGCAGTAAATAAAAGGCTGGAGTCACAGCCCTTTGAATCCTGGCCTAAGGGGAGGGGATGCTGTTGGGAGTGAGGGGTTAATGGAAATCCTTTGAGCTTTTCACAATTCCCATCCTCTTTTTTGCTCTCACTCGGGTCCCCTGGCTTGTGGTGCCATGTAATGTCCTGGCTCTGCCATCAAGCAAGCTGCTGCAGTGCTTGCTTACCCTCACTGCACTGTTTCTTGTATTTCTTCTCTTCATGTCTCTCGACTCACATTCACATGGCCACGTTTGGGGTAATGTACTCTGACACATCTGAGATATCTGGTCAGCTTGAGACATTGGATGATTTTCTTCCTCATTTGCTCCTTCTCCAGCTGAGGAGGCATCAACTGCTCAGATTCCTAGTCCCTTTCCTGGACTGGAACTCCTCACCCCATCCTCCCAAACCTGTAATCCCCTGAGAGTCTGGGTGTGAGGAGAAATGGGTGATTGAGACACTCCACCACTGACTGGTATCATGGGCGGAAGGAGAGAGAACTTCACAACATGCCTCTGCAAGGTGACTTTGTGTAAGAAAATGATCAAGTAAATAGCAGTTTCTTCTAGCATAAAAAGACACATGACATTTAAATAAAAATGTTGTTAGTATCTTAGCTTGTTTCAATAAATGTTAAGCAGAAGTGTATTTATTCAGATATTTTCTCCTCTCATATGTTTTGAATCTACAGTCAAATGTTTTTCCTTTATATTCAGTTTCCCATACCTTTTTCCATTTGGAATCATGTCAATCAGCTTTGTAGCTAAAGACAGTGACATGCTGAAAGAAGGTGAATACTACACGATCCGGTGTCTGCTTAAGTTTGGTGTTTAATGCTCTAAAAATTTGGATAAATTAGTTTTAAAAAAGCTGGTAGTAAAAGCCTCATAAAAATTAATCCCAGTTAATGGTATTGTAGGGATGTTCCCAGAGGAGGATAGTACTTAAATCACAAAATCTTGGCTTGAGAAGGAACCAGTTTTCTTATTTGAAGGTGTGTATGTGTGTGTGTGTGTGTGTTCATCTTCTTGATGTTTGTGAACCTGTTCTTGGAACTCACTTTCTTCCCATAATTTCATGAGCCATAATGCAATGATTTATCTTTTTTCCTTTCATTCATGAAAGGTCTTTTTTTTTTCTTTTTGCTTATATATATATTTTTCTGTTCCTGCACTACTCAGTTCCCACCTCTTGTTTTGAGACTATATTCCCTGCCCTGTGTAGTTCATGACTATAAAAATACCAAAATCTTCATCCCAATCTCTGAATTCTCCCATCTAAAACAGTGTAAAATCTCTAAATATCTACTATAACTGTGTTCTTCATGGTTATCTGAAACTTAACATTGTCAAAACAAAATTCATTAATTTTTCTCCACATCAACTTTATTAATACTTTCATGTCATCACATTTATATCCATATATGCAACATATCTATATGTTCTAGGCTTATGTATCAGTAGAAACTGAGGCCTACTGCCAACAGCTACATGTGAGGGCTTGGGAGAAGATACCATGATTCTAGTTAAGCCTTTTGATAATGGCAGCTCCAGCAGATAGCTTGTTTGCAGCTTTATAAGAGACCTACCACTAGAGACAAGTAGCTAAGCTTCTTCCAAATTCCTGACCTGCAGAATCTGTGTGAGGTAATGAATGTTTTTTAAGCTAAGTTTTAGGATAAATTTTTGTGTATCAGAAGAGAACTAATGCCATAACTTTCTAATATAAATAGCATATCCATGTGATTAAACTGTTTTTTAAAATAGAAAGGATGGAGAATGATCCAGCAGAGCTTTGCTGGAGTTGTGCCTTCCTGAGAAGTCAGACTTGGGATAGAAAAAGGACTTGGTGGTCCTGGAAGCATGGACAAACTATCCTTGAGGTTCTGTTGGAAATCATAAAGGATTTGAGTCATAAAGATGTTAAAAGTCATCTAAATTAAAACTTTCACCAAAAGCAACCATCTTCTCTCCAGTCTTGACAAGTAACTGAAAGGATCTGAAAAGAAGAGATTCACTTAGGAGGGTTGACAATTATATGGTGGCTATAGTGAGGACCCAAGTCATAGCTCAGGCTCTGGTGAAAGAAAGTGAGAAATCGCTCCTTTATCTTTTAATCTTCAAATTATAAAACATGAATAGACAAACTTTTGCTACACAGATGGCAAATCTGGCAATGCTGCTGGCACTATGCATGAAATAGTTGGTTTACAGGATGTTTTCTACTCTAAAACAAAATATTCTTGCAGTGTTTCATGTTCAAGAATGTATTCATCAAATTCCAAAGAGTTTTGGCCTGACTTCAGATAACAGGTAAGCCGCCATCAAAGAAAGCAAGAGTTCCTCAGAAACAGACTTAGCTGATAAACTGGAAGCATATGCTCAGGATCATGCCACTTTGCAGAATCAAGAGAAGACTAAAGCAGCAGCAGTCTCCATGGAAGTTTCAGCTAAGATAACAACATCATTAGCAGTAGTTTTCTGCAGCTTATTACTGGCTTTAAGCGTGCACTCATAGGATGTGCTCAGAAAGTGTGATGGTATATATTCCTGTGAAGACTGAAGTCAACCTACCATAGTCTTCTGGACTTCTGGAAATAGGAAATTTGCAAATTGCAATGCCCTATTAAGATATGAATTTTTGAAAATTAACTGCAGTTCAGTTTTCTGATGCAATATATGTGCTCCTTTCATCACACTGGTTTATGAACTGACAGTGAGGAACAACTTGTCCACCCTAAAAGTATTCAACATGAGTATACAAGTTAGAAAGTTTTCCTAGTGGAACAACTTAATGTGTAAAGGAATATCAGAGGCTGGGTAATTTATAAGGAAAAGAAGTTTATTTGGCTCATGGTTCTGCAGGCTGTATAAGCATGGCACCAGCATCTGCTTAGTTTCTGGTGAGGCCTCAGTAAGCTTTTACTCATGGCAGAAGATGAACAGGGGGCAGTCGTGTCACATGGTGAGAGAGGGAGCAGGAGCAACAGGGAGGAGGTGCCAGACTCTTTAAGAGTTAAATCTCCTGGTAACTAAAAGAATAAAATCTCACTAAAGAGAACTAATTACCACAAGGGGGGCACCAAGCCATTCATGAGGGATCCACCCTCTTGATTCAAATACCTCCCACCAGGCCCCACCTCCAATATTGGGGATCAAATTTCAACATGTGATTTGGAGGGGAAAAATATCCAAAGTGTATAAGGTACCAAATGCTTCTGACTAATATTTCAAAAAGTTTTCCAAAGGTGTATAGGACTTTGATCTTTGAATGAGAGTAGAAGTGGCTGACAAGATGCAATATGTCAAACATGAGTAGCAATGGTAAAAACTATAATGGGAGAAAGATTTACACTCATGCAAAATATAAAACCAAGATAACAGTGGAACCACATGGGAGGCCCATTAACTCATCATTTTTGTTGATTTGAGGTATAAGTCACAGATTCAACATATCTATTATTAAGAAGAAAAAGGCTAGATATTTTTATACATTTATTTTGTAAGATATAAGGAGTAGACCAGAGTGAGGAATGGTTCAAACAATAAAGGATATTGGAAAATATAGACTCATTAAATCTATAGTATGTGTTGTACTATTAGAAAGGTGCTGGCTGATGGACTTCTAATGATTGAGATCAATAATCTGATTGGTATTGTTATTATGCACTTTGCCCTTATATTTTCTCTCTTGGCTTCTATGATATTAACAAAATTGAAATTACTCCACTCAGAAGTTATACAAAACTTCCTTTTGAGTGTTTTGAAAACTTTAGAGAAACAGAGTCCATTACTTAACCAGTAAAACTGTTTTTAAAAATAAGTTATAAATCAGAGATAGCATACAGATATGATAATAAAAGAGGTAGATTTTATGAAGCCACATTTAGTATGCATGGCTACAGCAACTTGAATTATTCGTTGTCTCTTAAGGATATATTTTGATGGATGGAAAGGCAATATTGATCAGTGGGTAGAAGGTGAGGCCCTGACCTCTATCCTGTAAGGTGGTATCAATTAACTAGATATCAACTGCAGCCTTGAGTAAAGTACACAGAGATTCCTCAAAACAGAAAAAAAAAAATCTAATCCCAGCAATGCAAAGGATATGAGATAAAAGTTACATTATATCTAAGGAGTCACTAGGAGAGAATTATAATAAAGGCACATCTGATCAGGAAAGCAGTGGCTCTGTCAATTTCTACATTCAAAAAGGCCCATCCACTGGCTCATAAAAAGCTTCAGAGGGGAATTTTACACAATACAAATTTATTACCAACCCAACTGTACCGTGGCCTAACATTCAACAGAGTGGATATATCAGTTCTAGTTTTGTCAGGTGGCTGAGGAAACTATTTTAGTCAACATAGTGGAAGTACCATTATATAAAGACAGACCATTTTTTCTATATTTGAAGTTTTCAAAGAAGTTTAAGTGCTTTATCACTTAGCATTTATGTATTTTGTTAATGAGAACCAAAAATTTAACTCTTTGGTTAAATTATTAGTAATTGTGGCACCCTAAGGGTTAAAAGAAAATTAAAAATGGGCTTAGCTGGCAGGAACAGAAACAGGGATAGAGGACAGCGAATGTTCTGAGAAACTGGGCCAACTGTAAATGGCTCACTTGCAACCAAACATTAAACCCAAGTGCTCAGCTCATGGCCCACCTGTGCCGGGTCCGTCCTGCAGACCCTGGTGGAGAGAAGGATGAAAGGAGTACTCAGACACAGGTATGCAGTGTAACAGCAGCTAGGGGGCTGCTGGCACTAGTGGCTGAAGAAAAGAGCAGTCTCGAACAGCTGGAGCTGCTTATTCAATACACACATAATGCTGAAAGCCTGGAGCAAACACAATCTGTGGGTAATTAACATTATTGTTGCCCCTTTCAGAGAGCAGTCACACACGTGGATGATCAAAGGTCATTTCCTGGACAACAAAAGTAAACAAGCCTATTTAAGATAAATCCCCCTACACTCCGTTGTACCTATTCCTCACCCTCTGCCTCAGGGTAGGAGAATAGCTGCCTTCAGCTTATTCTCCCCCAAAGCTATGCAGAGTCTTCCAATCTTTCAGAAGGCCTGCTCCTTTCCCTATAGCTTCTCCCACCACTCTGACTGATCCCCCACACACCTGCACCCAAGCATCCTGTTTCAAGCATTTAGCCCAAGCAGCATGACCCTTTAAAAACTCCTCTAGTCTCCACTTCGTCGCAGACCTTCCCTCTGCTGTTTTGCCCATTGCTCTCTTGCAATATATCTCCCCTTTCTCTAATATATCTGCCTTTCTAAACTTATGACTGTCTTGGTAAATTCTTTTACCGCCCATGCTGGCCTCAGGCAGTCATTGACCATGACATTTTGGTAGCCTGTACAGGGAACCTCTCTACAGGAGACTCTCTCCCCTCTTCCTTTCTGTCTTCCCACTCAGGATCCTCTGTGGACAGCACCCAAGATGGAAACAACTGACAGTCTATGGCCAGGGCTATACTCTGGTGAAACTGAAAGGTGTCTGCATGGAAGTGTCTGACTACCACCATCCACTCAGGTGAGGGACCTAAGTTCATTTTCTTTTTTCAGACTTCCAGCAGCCGACCTCTAGTAGTGCTCTGGTAACTAGTGGTATCTGTCCAGGGCAGCTCCCTGGTGTTGCCTGAAGGCCAAAGGGCAAACATCTGGCTGCCTTCCAGAAGGGAAAAAGGTTGTTTCCTATCCTTTCTGGTCAGAGGTCTCCAATCCCTGCATGTTGCAGAATTAGCAGCAGCGGCTCCTCTAGGGCAAATCCACACACATTTTGGGTGACATAAACTCTCTCTTCCTCTTACTCTAATTCTCACATAAAGGTAGCCAGACCTCCAGCTCCAAATGTTCCCAAATCAGGTGATCGCCAGTGGCCTCAGAGTGATGAATCTCCCCATTCCCATCCCTTCTCCTGGGGCTGGTTCCAGGCTGAGTTCTCCCTTCACCTTCATACCTCCTGCCTGGACAAGCCATCTAGTGTAAGGTCCCAGCGGTATTGTCCCCAGTGCTGGGAGGTCTTTCCAAATAGGTGCAATACCCCTCTAGGAAGGACATCTCAGAAGTACCCCAGTGGACTTGAATGGTATCCTTTCCCCTGTCAGGATGCCTTGAGAGAAAGTATGCTTCATGTCCCCAGCAGATATCAGCCTCCAGTGGCTCATCATTTTCCAGTCCCAGCATGGGGCAAACTTTGTGTATTCCTTCCAACTCACCTCTGTGTTGCATCCTAAAACATTGGGACAAATTTCACCCTCAGACTCTCAAGAAGAATTGCCTAATTTTCTTGTGTAATGTGGTTTAGCCTGTTGATAAACTCTCAGATCGATTAGCCTAGACTCTGAATGGGACTTTGGATTTTAATACTTTTTGCAACTCAATCTGTGTTGTCAAAATTCCTCCAAATGGCCTGAGGTTCCTTTTATCCAGGCTTTTATGTCCCTGGGGTTGGGACCCAGACCTTCAAGGAAACTGTTGAATTTACCTAGCAAAGTTCTTACCTCTCCTGACTCCAGACATTTCAGATGAACCCTCTTTCATGCTCCCATGGTCAAGATCCTCCCCACCTTCCTCCTCTTCCTCCTCCCCAACAGTGTATCTATTCCTATGCCTTTCCCTCCTTCCACTCCACCTTCTACCTCCTTCTCTCTGCCTCTCCCCTACCTGGAACCTTTTTCTCCCCTCACATACTGGATTGGGAGCCATTTATTATCCCACTTCAGCCCCAGGAAAAGTTTTGTCACTCTGAGAAGTGGCAAACCACTTCTAAAAACAATCAGAGTCCATGTTCCTTTCCCATTTTGGACTTCTATCAGATACAAGGTAAACTTAGCTCCTTTAGGACCAAGGCCAGGACTCTTCTCACTTCATAAAAGAATTCAGAGTAAGTTTTGTTTCCTCTGATCTCATTTGTCTGGACGTTTATATTATCTTTACCAACTGTTGTACTCATGAGGAAAGGTCCCACATTTTGTCTCTAGCTCAATGGTGGAAAGATGAAGTTCATGACCAGAGCCCTTAGGATTCTGGCCTGGGGAGAACAGCAGTTCCTGATGTTGATTCTAGATGGACCTACCAAGAGAGAAACACTGGCAGGGAATGCCATAATCCTATAATTACTTGTTTAACTGAAGGCATGAAAAAGGCTGCCATAAAACTGGTCAACTAAGCCGAACTAAGAGAGGTAACACAGAGGTCAAATGAAAACCTAGCTCTATTTCACTCCAAGCTGGCTGGAGCCAAGAGAAAATATACTAATGTGGACCCCAAAAGCCAGAAAGCCTAGCTATTTTGAGTGTTTTTGTTTGTTTGTTTGTTTGTTTGTTTTATCAGCCAGGCATCTCCAAATATTAGACACAAACTCCAGAAACTAGACCAAAGACCACAAACACCATTTCCCATCTTGCTGGATGTGGTTCTTCAAGGTCTTTAATAATGGGAGGAAATATCACAGTCTGAATGGGATAGAAAAGATCGAGAAAGAGATGAGTGGCGGCTCACTACCTGGCTGCTGCCATTGCAAACTCTCTGCCCGTATTAAGGGCTCCTGGCCAGCCATCAGCGTGGAGCCTTATGGGCACAAAGGAGTTCACTATCTGCTATTGCTGTAATCAGCCAGGGCATATCAGCCAGAACTGCCAAAAGCCTCCTCAACCATCTCTTATTTACTGCAAATAAGTGGGGCATTGGAAATGGATTGCCTCTCTCTTCCTCATGTAGAAGGGTCATCCCACAACCAGCAACCCAGTTTGGGAGCACAGCAATGGCAAATGCCCCTAACTCTGTTCCTCAACTGTGAGGAAGCTGACGGAACTGAGAAAGCAGAAAGAGATGACTGATGGGGCTCAGAGGCCATCCAGGCCCCTGTGTTTATTCGCAATAGCAGCCCCAAATTTATTCGCAAATTTCTTGCCAGCAAGGTTCCAGCACTTGAGAGTGACGATGGATTTTGTGTGTTTGAAAGCGATGCCATTGCTACTATGTGAGCAATGAGGAACGGTGGGGAAGGACTCCATAGGCAGCAGCCCAGGTGGTGCAGTGGGTGAGCTCTCTTGATAGCAATGCAGTGTCCCCAGCCAGTGTCTCAGTGTTTCCCACCTTGGGCATCATGCACCACAACAAACAGGCTACTGAGAATGCAAAGGCAGAGGTGAGGCGAATTTTGGGGCTGCTGGATGCTCACTTGAAGACGAGGACTCTTCGTCTGGCTGACATAGTAGTTTTCTGCACCCTGTTGTGGCTCTATAAGCAGGTTCTGGAGCCTTCTTCCTGCCAGGCCTTTCCCAATACCAACTGCTGGTTCCTCACCTGCATTAACCGGCCCCAATTCCGGGCTGTCTTAGGGAAGGTGAAACTGTCTGTGAACATGACCCGGTTTGATGCTAAAAAGCTTGCAGAAGGCCAGCCTGAAAAAGACACCCCATGGAAAGGGAAAGGTTCACGGGAAAATAAGCAGTAGCCCCAGGCTGAGCGGAAGGAGGAGAAAAAGGCAGCTGCCCCTGCTCCTGAGGAGATGGACGAATGTGAGCAGGTGCTGGCTGCTGAGCTCAAGGTCAAAGACCTCTTCGCTCACTTGCTCAAGAGTACCTTTGTGTTGGATGAATTTAAGTGCAAGTACTCCAACGAGAACACGCTCTCTGTGGTGCTGCCCTATTTCTGGGAGCACTTTGATAAGGATGGCTGGTCCCTGTGGTACTCACAATATCGCTTTCCTAAAGAACTCACTCAGACCTTTATGACTTGCAATCTCATCACTGGAATGTTCAAGCGACTGGACAAGCTGAGGAAGATGCCTTTGCCAGTGTCATCCTCTTTGGAACCAACAACAGTAGCTCTATTTCTGGAGTCTGAGGCTTCTGAGGCCAGGAGCTTGCCTTTCTGCTGAGTCCAGATTGGCAGATGGACTACCAGTCATACACATGGCAAAAACCGGCTCCGGGCAGCGACGAGCCCCAGACCCTGGTTGGAGCGTAGTTTTCCTGGGAGGAGGGTTTCCAGAATATGGGCAAAGCCTTCAATCAGGGCGAGATCGTCAAGTGAGTATCTCTTGCCATCTTCTACCTGCCTGCATCTGCCCTTCAGGGTGATGGGAGTCATTAAAGGAAAATGAACACTGAAAAACTAAACTAAACTAAATAATAAAATAAAATAGGGATGGTCAACAGGAGTCTATTTATGGGATCTCATACTCCATGTTGAAGATTTGAGGAAATATCATATTTTCCTAAGTTGAATTTCTTTTTCTTACTAAAATATACACCCCTTCCCCAGGAATGAAATTCTCTTGTTTTTCTGATGTTTTCCTCAGTCTCTGAAATAGTGTTTGGTATAACCAGATCCCAAAACAGGTGTTCTGAATTGCCAGGAAAATCAAATTAAAAGTTGTTTAAAGGTTAATTGATTTCACATTTCAAAACATTTCAGCTCTACTTTAAGTATGTCAAATGTGTTAGAAAACTAATCTGCAAGGGAAATTTTTTTATTTTCTTAAAATTGAACACATATGACAGGAATTATCTTTCACTAATTCAGTAATAATTTTAACAATAATAACTGACTTATGTGTTTTTAAACACCTTTTTCACCCAAATTTTTTAAAAAGTTAAAAAGAGATGTTTATTTTCTCCATTTTTAAAAAAACTTTCTAATAAATTGTGACTGAATGAGAGAATTTTAGCTTTTCCAGTGAGGAACAAGCACTGAATGTCAAAAATTAACTGCGGATGTTCTAGAAGTGTTGCTGGATCTAAGCCTGGCCTCTTCAAATGGTAATATTGATCATTTCCTCTGGAATACAGGTAGAGCTAATTACAAATTAGTCAAAATGATTAACTTCTGCACTCCTCAGCCTGTGAATTACTTTAAAAGATGTCAATGAAAAGCCCAAGGAGACTATTGTTGTTAAGATTTTATTTGAAGCCAAAAAATGCACAGAAAGTTAAAAACTATTAACTCGTCATTTACATTAGGTGTATCCTAGACCTTAAAGTATAATAAAAAAAGTATATATATATAAAAAGAAAGTTAAAAACTAGCAATTTGCTCTTCTAAAATACTTTCTTACTTCTCAGTGTAATAGCATTGGTAATATTCACAGTTTCACTTCATTTTAAGCAAGAGGCATTAATAACATAAAGTTGCTACTAGAAATAAAATTTGTTATTTTAAATATGAATATATGGAACCATATGTTGACATTTTCTGAAACTGACTTTTCAGAGACATAAACACAGTTCAAATCAGCACAAGTTGTTTTTCATTAGTTATATATATAAAATATATATTATTTATTATTATTTAATTTATTATTATTCAATGATAATAAATTATATTATAATAAATATTGTTTTTTATTATTATTAGTTATATATATGTAATTTCAGCTGATAAATTAATGGACACATATCCTAAATCAGTGGTCCTCAACGTTTGCAAATTTATGGGCCCCATTCTAGAGCTAGTCAATTAGAAACTCACAGGTCTAGGCTAGCAATCTTGTTTTAAACTAGCCTTCCAAGTGATTCTTATCCATGTTAAAGATAGAAAAGTATTGTCCTAAACCAACATTGCTGAGGAAAACCTACTGTTAAAGATAGCACTGTAGTACTTCCCAAATCTGAAACATTGAAGAATGTTTCCATAAAACCAAATGTCTATAATACTTTCAAAATAAATATAAGAGTTTTTGTTTTCAGGGTCAGTGAAGTAAACGCAAATCTTGGTTTTCATTACTCATACACAAGAAGCCAATTGTAGGGGAACCGTCTGGGGAACTGAAAGAAACCTTTAGGGATATGATTTGGTAATTTGGTTTTTTAATTATTCATTTGTAGCCATGTCTTATTAGCTTCCAAATCTAGAGCAAAATGATGTATTGGCTATTTTAGAATTTTCCACTCAACTATGAAATATATATCGGTAACATCATTGCAAAGACATATCCTTGATTGAGTCCTGCGAACAGCAGTTAAAGGAAGATAAAGAATTCCAAACATCAAAATGAAATTCAAATTTCTGTTGATTAGGAGGATTCTTAATTCATACTAATAATGAATAGAAAATAACAATGCATAGGACTTTATGTCTTAACCATAATTCCAATTATACAATTTAATGGTCCAATCCTCCTTTATAGTTTGAAATGGATTGCTCACCTCGGATCTATGTTTTTGTTGTTGATGTATATTTTGTGGGTATGTGCGGGTTTTATGAAGAATGACAGGGAAGAAGGAGGAGTTTAAACTCTATTTTTTTTCTTTTTTGCTGTGTATGAAGAAAGCTAAAGCTGTTATTAACTTACAATCCTATCAATACCTACCTCCATCAATCTTTGTATTATGATATTATGTATCTTATACTAATTCATTAATATGGCAAATTATTTTAAAACTTAAAAAAGTAGGTTCAACTGAGCTTCTCCTTTAGTTTTTCATTTGAAAAAATGTCTAAATAAACTACGGTTTTTTGGATATATAGATCACTAACTCTGCAGATTTGATATTTAATTTTTGGATCAATTATATAATTTGAGAAAGTAAAGTTCTCACATAAGATATACATATAGATATAGATTTATAGACATATACCACCAAATTCTTCTCCAGAAAATCTGGTATAGTGAGCTCTACAGGAATTATATGTACTGTGCATGTGTGTGTTTGCGTGTGTGTGTGTGTGTGTGTGTGTGTATATATATATACAATTATATGTGTAATATCAGTCAGTTGTATTTAACATGTAATTCATATATCTATATATAATTTTTGTATTTAGAGATCACTATACCATATTTTATGTATAAATTTATTATATATAAAATATAAATTATATATATTTTATATTATATAGAGAGAGGAATAGAGAAAAACTAAGGATGAAAAATAAATATGTTTGCCCACTACTCCTACAAAAATATAATGAGCATTTTCTTATGAAAAGCCTTTGAACACCAACTATTTTAAACTCCATACTTAAATATTTTTCTAAACTATGAACAACATAAAAGTGATTTATTAAATAAAACATTTCGCCCATGCTATTACCTAAACTTGCATAATATGCAGAGAATCACTATTTGGCTTACCTCAGAATAGGAGTTTGTCAGTAAGAGCCACCACCACTTTTGAAGGTAACAGTTCATAGCCAGAATGTCCTTCAAAGTCACCTGAGAACTCTAGATGCATACACTTAACTGGACCCCATTCTAGAACTACTAAAAAATAATTTTCAAGGTATGAAGTCCCGAACATTTTCTTAATTTATGGTGAGAAATTTTTAGTTTAAAGCAAATAATCTAGACAATATGTGATCCACTGGAAAACTGAGGAAAAAAGGAATCTCTGCTATGTGGCTGTTTTAGATGTTTTACTTCTCTGGGATTTGCCTGGGAGGATCATTAGAAGTATTATCTTGGTTTCCTCAGCTCATTCTCCAACTATTCAATCTATTCTGCTTTCCAAGTAAATCTAAAATGTGTGATGGATGATGCTATGGTCTTAATATTTGTGCCTCCCCCAAATTCTATTTTGAAACCTAACCCCATAGGTGATGATATTAAGAGGTGGGGCCTTAGGAGGTAATTTGGTTGGCTCAGCTCATAAGGCGCAGTGTCCTTACAAAAGAAGCTCAACAGAGCTTGTTCACCCCTTTTCCCATGTAAGGACACATAGAAGACACCATCTATGAAAACCAGGCCCTCACCAGACAGAGAATCTGCTGGCATCTTGATCTTGGATTTTCCAGCCTGCAGAACTGTGAACAATAAATTTCTATTGTTTATAAATTACCCATTATTTTGCTATAGCTGTCTGAAAGGACAAAAGCAACTTCCTTTTTCCAACTTCCAGCACGATAATTTCATTCTCTCTTTTGTTCTTGTCCAGTTGTCTATTATTTCAATGTCCCTTTGTTTGTGAAGAGAAGTAGAAACTCGTGCTTAGTCCATCACATTTAACCAAAATGAAAATTAATTTGAGTGATCTAATATGAGCCATTTTAACCTAGAAAATTTCATTTCTTTTCTTTGGGTTAAGAAGGTTTTCCTGAAGTATGAGTGTGATTATTGCTTTTGTTCTCGTTGACCAAGTCATGTGGCAAAGAGCACAAGTTATTTTTGGTTTGGATTTATTTTGTTTGCCGTCTATAGACATACTCTACTTTTGGTTTTAGTTTTTGACTGTGTTCAAAGAACGGTTTTGAGGTTGTTCTAAAGTGTCCCTGAAACTTCTCTTCAGAATATCCAGTGTCAGCTCTGCCTTTCACTGCCTACAATGTAAGCGTCACTTCTGTTGTTTCTGCTCTCCTGCCTTCTGCCTTACCTCTCACCCAGAATTCTTCCCATTCCAGCATATCTTAAAGATGTCTGGCCACAAGTCCTAGAAGTGGCACTATATTGTAGCATTAAAATTGGTAGTCCATTCTAATATTCCTTAGACTCCTATGGCAAATAATTTCCAGAAGTAAGCCCATTCTCAAGGTAATATTTCTTACTTTTGTTCTTCATTTCTTTAGGCAAATGCATTTGTTTCCCTCTATTCATTATTAGAAGAGAGGAGATTACATACCAGACATATACCAATAGGTAAGTTGACTATCTTGACAGCACTCACAATAGTCTTTTACTCATACCTACTCTTCTTCCCAAATCTGTATTTGAGGTCAGATTGCCCTGCATAATTCATAGATCAATGTACATAGTCTAACAGAAATAAATTAATGTATTATTTTTAAAGTTTGAGGTGAGATAGAACAAAGCAAAAAGGCATATACTGGTTTTCTGACAATTTGAAGTTTTGTTAATGTCAAAAAGTCTTTCAGGGTCCCTTTTACTTTTCTATCTATAGAACTTTAATTGTTGAGATTTTACCTCCTAAGATTACAACACAAGCCCACTTCTTTATGTGGTATTATAAGAATCAATGCATTCAAATTGATATATGAGGGTATGAATGGTTATTTAGACTTGTTCATTGGCCATTTGGAAAACGTTAGCCACATGGCTGAGAACACTGTGGCATAGAGTTTTGATTAGTGTAGTCCCTGAAACTTTGGCCCAGAGGGAAGATGAAAGAATATGAAACTCTATTTTGATGGTTTTGAAAGGGTAGGGAGGTAGGAAAGAAGATATTTACCCTGCTTTCCATAGGAGTGTTGTATTTCTTGTGGCAAAATATGTTAACTTTGAATTATTATCTCTTTCAAATCTATACTTGTTATAGTTAAAAGTTCTCCTTTGATTTTAGAAATAGATTGATTGTTGCCTTAGTAGATAGTAGTTTTCTGAGGTTTTGCCTTTAGTGCTACCTCCATAAATTTGGGAGGAATTTGGAATTGGTTATATTAGGAAAATAGACATAATTTTGATAAGCCTGGATAGACTGGATAAAGGAAATGTGGTAAATATACACTGTGGAATACTATGCAGCCATAAAAAAGAATGAGATGATGTCCTTTGCAGGGACATGGACAGAGCTAGAGGGCATTATCCTTAGCAAACAAACACAGAATGAGAAAGCCAAATACCGCATGTTCTTAATTAAAAGTGGGAGGTAAATGATGAGAACACATGGATACATAGAGGGGAACAATACACATTGGGGCTTTCAGAGGCTGGAGGGTGGGAGGAGGAAGAGGACCAAAAAATAAATAATGGGTCCTAGGCTTAATACCTGGGTGATAAAATAATCTGTACAACAAACTCCCATGACACAAGTTCACCTATATAACAAACCTTCATTTGCACCTCTGAATGTAAAAGTTAAAAAAAGTTAGTATGTATACATCAAAACACACAGGAACATGCTGTATTAATAATTAATTATTGCTCAAAAGTCTAAAATTTATATTGATAAAGTAATTAACTTTTCTTTTGTAAACATGGCATTCAAGATTGCTTTGCCTAAAATGTTGGGTGGTCAAATATCTTAAATGAGATTGGCAGTAGAATCAGTGTAGTGAAAGATGGGATCTGAATGTTGAGATACTTGTTAGGAGATTGGCACTCTTAAAGAATTAAACAGAAATTTTTTTAAAAAGGACAAGTAACTTCAAATTGACTATTTGCTTTAATGTTTGAAACTCTCTGTTATCCAGTCATTTTTTCTTTCAAAGTAGGAAATTGTGTTTAGAAAGCTTGGAAATTTCAACATATTCTTGGGCACTTAATACCTTTTTGGTTTTCTTGCCAATTCCACAAAGGAACCACGTTCATTCCTGATCAGGTTCTTTGTGCTTACTGCTTCTTCAGATTGTTTCCCTAGATGTCACCTCCCTCATTGTTATGCTTCCTTCCGATTTATGTCAAATTATTACTTTTTCAGAGAAGCCTTCCTAGATCAACATGTTTAAAATTGAATTTTCCCAACTACCTCCCTGCTTAGGTTGATTGTATTTTTCTTTATAACACTTACCAATTTTTATTTTTGTTATCTTTTAGTATTATTGGTCTTTCAACTAGAATATACTTTCAGAACAATGATATTCTCAATTCTAGAATATGAGCAGCACATTATTTATTTATTTATTATTTTACTATTTTTTTTTTGAGACAGAGTCTCGCACTGTTGCCTGGACTGGAGTGCAATTGTGTGATCTCGGCTCACTGCAACCTCCGCCTCCCAGGTTCACGCAATTCTCCTGCCTCAGCCTCCCAAGTAGCTGGGATCACAGGTGGACACCACCACACCTGGCTACTTTTTTGTATTTTTAGTAGAGACGGGGTTTCACTATGTTGACCAGACTGGTCTCAAACTCCTGACCTTGTGATCCGCCCTCCTCGGCCTCCCAAAGTGCTGGGATTATAGGCATGAGCCACTTTGCCTGGCCATGAGCAGCACATTATTTATGATAGTAGACATATATTATGGTACTCAGGCGATATGTACAGCATGAATTAATTCATAAGTGAATGAATAGAATGACTGACTGACTCAAGTTCATGGTACTTGAGAGGCCTGAGTGGGAGGGCACTACACATTTGTATGGCAAAAACCCCTGGATGTAGAAAGGGTAAGGAATTGGAGACATTCATGCATTTAATTACACATTCATTGTATACATGGAAGGAAGACAGTTTTAGGGTGGACATCTCAAGTCCAGATCATATAAAACATTTCAGAGAATTTATTATGATAATATTATCCCTTGGAAGTCTTTTCCCAAGCATGAAGTCAAAATTGCTGGGTATAGTTTTGTAGAAGCACATCCAAGGGAAAAAAAAAACATCTAAGTTTTCATTTTGGTTCTGTTTTTAAAACAAAATGTGTGTAATTTGTTTTTTTCTTTAAAAAATATTACAAACATCCACTGCTAATGAGCACAGAATTTCTTTCTGAGGTGTTAAAAAATTCTGAAGTTAGATATTGATGATAGTTACACAACTCTATGAATATACAACGAACCACTAAATTGTACTCTTTAAAAGGGTAACTTTTATAGTATGTGAATTAATCTTAATAAAGGTGTAATTAAAATGTTTAAAACTAGGAGTATCTTTAATGTTGTTTTACATATAAACATGAAATTATATTTATTTTATTTACAGGTTTTGTTTTGTGCTTAAGTTTATAAATAGTAAAGGAAAATTCTTTCCTTTTTTTTCCCGTGTAGAATTTTGAATAGTTTCTTAAAACTTATTATTTTTATTATAAAATAATTTTTATAATATTATAAAATTATTATAAAATATTCTTTTATTTATTATAGTTCTCAGTCAAGTGTAATGTAAAACCTTAAAATAAAAGCATAGAAAGACCCAGGAGTTCAAGACTAGCATAGGTAAGATGGCAAGACCCTGCCTATACACAAAAATAAATAAATTAATTATCTGGGTGTGGTGATATGTGTCTGTAGTTTCATCTGCTCAGGAGGCTGATGTGGGAGGATTCCTCGAGCCCAGGAATTTGAGGAGGCAGTGAGCTATGATCATGCCACTGCATTCCAACCTGGGTGACAGTGTGAGACCCAGTCTCACAAAAAAACAAACAACAACTACAAAACAAAAACAAAAAACACTAAATGAGACACTGTAATATAAATCAAAGTCCTCGTAAAACATAAAGCAGTATAAAATGAATGTCATTATTATAGTAAAATAAAAGGGTATAAGTTTATAATTTGTAAAGTTTCAAATGTACTGTTAAAATCTGTATTGGTTATGTAGGCTTTTCCCTCCCTGAGTTCCTTTAACCATGAGTCACTAAGAGAATAATCGTATTGTGATATAAAACATAAGAACACTATAAAGTGCCTATCAAATAGAAAGCACAGGCACTGGGAGAAGATTAGGAATGCATTGAACAGTAGGAAAAAGTTTTGCCTTCAATATTAGAAAAAATTTAATATCTAGACCATAATTGAAAGGTTTTCTGAATTTATTTTTGTCATTGTCCTGGATTCTTTTCACTATGAGTCATTTAATTCTTTAAAAAGATGTTATTTGTGGATTTGATGATGTTATAGCATAAAGTAAATATTTGCATTGTTACATTGTCATGTTACTGTTACATATTAAATTTTGCAAAATACTCTTTTGATGTGACATTCTAATAGGGACCTTGTCATCCATACAAAAAAATGTACTTAAGTAGCTTTTTTAAACTTATGGTTATGATTCTATGGCATGAGTCTTCCTTTAGTGAGACATATATAAATTAAATATTTCAAATTAAAATTAGTCATTGTGTACATAAGAATTATTTTTAAAACTGTAATGCGTGTAAAGCTGATAATTTGATCTTATTCTTTTTCTCAGGTTTTTTTAGTAAAAATAAATATCAAAAAATATCAGATTGGATCAGATGAAATTGCCATTTGTAGGCTCAGGATGATTATATATTGGCAATATCCTGTGGTTCAAATAAAAGCATTATGGATAGAGTGTATATTGCATTATACAAAGACATAGTGTCATTTCCCCCACAAAACTGTATTTTCCACTTGATAGGAAGAAGATATTAAGTAAAACTCCAAATTGGTTGGCATTACATTTTATCATGGTTAAATCCCTCAAGATGGCGGGTTCCTGGATACAGAATCAGTATTTCTACTATGCTAATCTCTGTGATTTTGTTACTAAGAGTAATATAGGGTTTTTGTTTAAAGTAATCTATTTACTGTAATCAAAACCAGTGCCATTCTAAATAGTTTTTGCTGGATTACTATCTAATCCACCTTCAGATTCTCTCTCAAAATTAATCTAAACCTGAAAAGAGAATGGGGAAGCAAACAGAGGGCAGAATAATGTCCTTAATATGAAGATTTATTTTGAAAAGAGTATTTTAGTCATAATAATTGTAATGTGCTGAAGCCATCATAGAAGCTTATCAAGTTTGAAATAGATGATCCCCAGATAACCTGGCTTGAGACAAGGGATTTCTTCTTCTTAGTACAAGTATTTTAATTTATTCCTGCATAATTTTTTTGATCTATATAATATCAATCATAATAATATGTTCTTATTTCATTGTAGAATGTTTTTGAGATTAAGTATAATAATATTCATAAGCATCATTTGAAAAATTTAAAAATAAAATTAGTTTTAATTTTTACATTTGTATTAATTTAAAATCGCAGTAATGCAATCACTTTAAGTATTGACAAAAATAATCCATGTTTCAATACGGTCTTAAAGCTAGTTATATGGCACTAAATAAGACAAAATAAAATGGCTCTATTTTTAAAACATTAACAAAATGTACTACTTTTATAATAATCCTGCTATCTAAAAATCTTTCCTCTAAAATTTTATATACAGGATTGCATTTTTAAAACTTTTTGAAAGAAAGCTCATTCAATTGTTTATTTTCATATTTATTTACAATCTGAAACATTGTTGTAACCTGAAATACTCTCATAGCCACCTCTTCAATTAACTAAATTAGTTTTATTGTATCACAAAGTGTGAATAAACCTTTGCTTTTTACATTGAAAGCAAGCATGGGATTTCTACTTATTAGTACAAGTATTTTAATTTCTTCCTGTATTTTTTAATCTTATAGTAAGTTGTCCTTTGAGAATACATTCTTTATATTAAATATAAAACAATTTATTGTGTTAGCTGAAATGCCTGTAGCTGAATGCATGACCCAAATTCATTCAATAAAAGAATATTTATTATCTAATACAATAGTAATGTACAATTAATCCAGGACTCTTGACACATTGGTCCAATGATGTACTCAAAAATATGAGGTTCTTTTCACCTATCTTCTCTACCATGTTGATTTGGCTTTGTCCTTATGGATGCAGGAAGACTGCAGATTGAGATAAAATATCAAAATATGAAAATATCCAGATGAAGAGACAATCTCATCTCATGTTATCTAAGAATTGAAACTTCACACAGGACTTTTGTTCCTTTGTATGCTCACTGCTAAACAAGTCACTGCCAAGGGGAATAAGATTGCCATATTGGCAGAGATAAGTCAGTTAGCATAGTGTAGAAAGTCAATCACAGAAATCACTCTAACTGTGCACTGTTTTATTATTCTCATATAAAGAAGGGTCATCTTACGCATAAATCTTAATATAAAAATAGTCCTTTTGATGTCTATTTTTTATATTCAGATGCAACAGGAAAACTTGCACTCCAGATTAGCACCTAATCGCTTCCAACTGATAAGAAACAAAAAGAAAGCAAAATGAAAATTTTATTTATTTCATCTCATCTTGTGTGGTGTTTAATCATGCATGCTTCTTTTTTCTCCACTAGAGTTATTTCTTCATGTCAGAAAATACATTGAGTTATGTATTTACTATGAAAGCTTACAAAAGGCAAAATGTGGATTAGGTAGTCCAAAATATGTTCATTTCATTTAGTTTCAGAATTTGTAAATAAGGGTAGTTGAAAAGTCCTTTTAGTCCCTCCCTCTTACATATATACAAATGAACAAGAATCATAAGATATTTGATGAAAGCGTTTACATAAAAGAAGTCTTAACAAAGAAAAAAATAAATGAATTCAGAGGAAATAAAATTTACAGAGAATGCTATATAGATAAAGTATCTTTGTGTATGTGTATAAAGATAAAAATTGAGGAAATTTTTCAGGAAACTAAAACAGCAAAAGATAAGGAAATACACTAGAAAAAATATATCCAAATCAAAAGTATCCATCCAGTAGTACCAACATCTAATAACATGAATTCCAGAAAAATAAACAAAAAAGAAGTAAATTTATATTTTAAATTTAAGCAAATGTTTCATAACTGAATAATAGTTTTCAGAAGGATACGAAGATTATTATGAGCGATGATTTTTAAAAACACCTCCAAAAACAGTCATCTTAAAAATTCACCATAGGTATAAATTTCCTAAATTCTTAAAGAGGGAAGAAAGAAAACATGTCACCTACAAAAAATCTTATGATAAAATGTCCTCAGACTTCTTACTAGAAGCTAGAAGAATGTGAAATAGTGTCTTAAAAATTCTAAGGCAAGATGGTGTATATTTAGCCAGACTATGAAAGATTTGTGAAGGTTGAAGAAAAAGATTTTCATGTCCTCAAGGTTTTGATGCACACGCACATTCTCAGGAAGCTACTGGAGTATGTGCTCTGTTTAGTAGCATGAGAAAAGCAAGAAAGAGAAAGAATGAGGACCCTGGAAAGAAGGCCTTCCCACAGAAGAAGAATGAAAGGAATTCCTGATTTGATGGTCAAGGGAAGAAGTCCCAGGTTGACCAGTGAGCAATGATTCTAGAAAGCACATAGTTCAGATTAAAGCTGGAGTGCAGAAGACTTCAGGAGGAGTGTCTCAAAGAAAAGGTTAAACTGAAGAGTTATGTGAATGTGTTTCGATTCATTGAAAAGGTATTTAGAGATTGATTGAGAATGAACTACTGATGGCCACGCTGGAAAATAACCAAATGAAAAAATTAACTCCAGGGCAATAAAGAGTTGAGCAAAATATAAAATGTAATGATAATGTAGTGATACTATATGGAATATTTTACTTAGCTTAGCTACAAATAATATTTACATGGTCACATAATGCAAACATTAACTATTAACTTAATCAAGCCCTTATATAATTCTATTGGAAGAAAGCATGTATGAATGTATGTGTATGCATATGCATAGGTTTATGCATGTGTTTATGTATATGTGCTTTGGCGCGAAGAGGGCAGGATACAAAAGGCCAATTTTTCTCTCCTATTTTCCACTTTAGGAGGTCCATAGATATTATGTAGGACTAAATACTTAAAGAAAGAATACACATGTGATTTAGAAAATACAAAAGTAAAAGAAGAAACAGGTAGAAATGTTGAATTTGGTTAACTCTGGAGACTGACAATCTGGAATATGGAAAAACAAGAAAATTGCTTTGATGCAAGATTTATACTATTTTCAACAACAGTAGTATGTTTTTTATAGAAATGAAAACCAAAGAAAATTGAATAGATAGAATATTTCTGAAAACAAAAGACACATTTATATTTAGCATCCTCCAAATGGAGAAAGGAAATGGCTATGGAAGCAGTCATGTTTTGCATTTGTCAGTTCTTTTTATACCTATAAAAAGTGTGCCATGATGTGCATTCAAAATTAATATGCTCTATAAAGAAAAAAGGAAAACCAAGAACTGTCATGATATATAATCACTCACTCTTTAAGTACATAAATAATTTTAATAAAATGATGCCTGGAATATGTGGCACAAAATAGACAATAAATATGTATAAAATGTCTTGAAAAGAATGGTATATAATGAAGTTCTGTTTATTTTAATGTCATTTGTTTATGAATACATAGCTTAGAAATAAAAAATATTGAAATTAATATCTCTTCAAAAACTTGTACTGAACACTTACATATCCTTTCAATTTTCCATTAACTGGAAACAAATGATGCTCCATCTTAATGATTACATATTTGATTATTTCTGAAAGTTAATATTTTCATATTTGGGTATTTATGCAGTAAGACATTCCTTTTTAAAAAATTTTGTATTCTACCAAGGGACTTTGTAAATAGAGCATGTATCTATCCCAGGGTAGCAACTACCTAGTAAATAGGTCCAGATGTTTGGGATAACAACTTTCCACCTGCATGTCTTTAGGACTCCTTTGCCTTCCCCCTCTCTCCCTCCCACCAAGTTCCCTTCTGTCATGTCTTATTTAATGTAGCAGATGTGGAGTAACTAGAGACAATACAACAGCTTTTTAGAAATTGAACAATTACATATTTTATCAGCATGGTAGTAAAAAGCTATCATGTCTTTCAAGCTCAGAAGACCATTCAGTGTTAAAAATGTTTAAATAAGCTTATAATTCTCAGAATATGATTCACTGGTTTTCAAAGAATACTTCACAGGCCAGCCAAAAAGAATATAAGGAGGGAGGATGGATTTTTCTTGCAAAATATATAGTTTAGCCTAAATGTTATTGCTGCACTTGAAACCAAGTAGAATTAGAGAGATGACAAGGTTTAATTTTCTAAGTGAGTGACATAAAAATAGCACTTGAAGGTGAAATATGTGTCCTGTGTGATATAAAAGGAGAGTGTCTTTAGGGAAGCCTGTCCTGTCTGAATAAAGGGAACTCCAGCAATATTTTGAGTGTACCCAAGGGTTCATCTATTCTCATGCAGATGCAATAACGGTGGTTCTGTATGGCAAACTCCCTTCCATGCATGATGCTGGCTCCTGTGCCAACCTGCTGAGGGAGAGAAAAATGATTACGTTATATGTCCAATTGATTCTGCCTCTCTTGTGGAGTGTGTCAAATAAATTGCATTTTTCCTGAGCCCATTTAGATAGAGTATTATCCTGCTGTGTTCCTTTGGATCCTGTACAGATTTCTGATTGCTGAATTGTAACACTAATCATAATAATTATCTATGTAATAAGTTCACAATATGAATTGTTACAGATGGTCACATTTTCTATCACAGAGCAATCAAGCCTATTTGTACAATCTACTTGCTTCTAGATAAAACAAAAGGCAACATGTAAGTTTCTGTATGTTCATCACACATTATAAGTGGCAATTTAGGTCTAGTATGTCAGAGAAAATGAGACATGATAAGAGCGAGTGCTAAAGAACTTTTCAATAAAAGCATATTTGAATTTTGCTGTTAGTTTTACAGATATTATCATTATATATCCAATTAAATACTAAAGATTTATTTTTTCCACAGCAAGTAATTTCCTTTTTTCCTATCTAAAATCTGAAATTCATTTTGACAATGGAGGACATGCAAATGAATTATAATTCAAATACAATAACAATATAAATATAAGTTATTGAAATAGAATGTGAAGCATATTTATGACCTTCACAAAAATGTTCTTCTAGGATTGACTACAATTGGCAGCAGTTACTTTCTCTGTCACTTTAACAGTTGCCATGTGAGGTTTTAGTTGAGTTAAATCTGGTCACCATACACAAGTGATGTCATAACTATAATGTTGAAAAGATTCAGGCATACTTCCTTTATTGCTGTTTCCTTTTTTTCTACTTTACAGATACTGCATGTTTTACAATTAAAGGTTTGTGGCAACCTTGCATCTAATAAGTCCATAGGTGCCATTTTTCCAACAGCATGTTTTCACTATGTGCCTCTGTCACATTTTGGTAATTCTCACCATATTTTAGATAGTTTCTTATTAACATATCTGTTATGATGATCTGGGATCAGTAATTATGTTAACTTATTTTGCAGTATGAAGGAATATCTGAGGCTGGGTAATTGATATGGTTTGGCTGTGTTCCCACTCAAATCTCATCTTGAAGTGTAGTTCCCATAATCCCCACGTATTGTGGGAGGGACCTGGTGGGACCCGGTGGGTGGCAGTTACTTCCATGCTGTTCTCATGATAGTGAGTGATTTCTCACGAGATCACATGGTTTTATAAGGGGCTTTTTTTCCCTTTTGCTTGGCACTTCTTGCTGCCACCATGTGAAGAAGGATGTGTTTGCTTCCATTTCCACCGTGAGGCCTTCCTGGCCCCGCGGAACTGTGAGTCAATTAAGCCTCTTTCCTTTATAAATTACCCAGTCTCAGGTATTTCTTCATAGCAGCATGAGAATGGACTAATATAGTAATTTATAAGGAAAAGATGTTGATTTGGCGCACAGTTCTGCAAGCTGCACAAAAAGCGTGGCACCAGCATGTGCTTCTGGTGAGGCCCTCAGGAAGCTTGCACTCATGGTAGAGGGCAAAGAGGGAGCAGGCATGTCATGGGGTGACAGAAGAAGCAAGATAGAGAGTAGAGAGAGCCAGACTCTTTTTAACAAACAGATCTCATGTAAACTCGTTACGGCAGGGAGGACACCAAGCCATTCATGAGGGATTCGCTCCCATGACCAAAACACCTCTCACTAGGCCCCACTCCCAACAGTGGGGATCACATTTCAACATGAGATTTGGAGGGGACAAATATCCATACCATATCAGTGATATTTGATGTTACTATTGTAATTGCTTTGGGGTGCCGTGAACAATGCTCGTACGTCACTAAACTTAATCGATAAATGTTTTGTGTGTTCTGACTGCTACACTGAGTGGTCGTTCCCCTATCTCTCTCCATTTCCTTGGGCTTCCTTATTTCCTGATATATAGCAATATTGAAATCAGTCTATTAATAACCCTACAATGGCCTCTAAGTGTTCAAATGAAAGAAAGAGTTACATATCTCCCACTTTAAATCAAAAGGTATAAATGATTAAGCTTAGTGAGGAAGGCATATCAAAAACCAAAGTAGGCCAAAGTCTAGGCCTCTTAACAGTTAGCCAATTTGTGAATGCAAAGAAAAAAAAGTTGGAAGGAAATTAAAAATGCTACTCCAGCATATGCATGAATGATAAAGTGAAACAGCTTTATTACTGATATCAACAGTTTTAGTGATTATGGTAGATTAAACCAACCACAATATTCCTTTGAGTAAAAGCCTAATCCATAGCAAGGTCCTAACTCTTCAATTCTATGAAGGCTAAGAGAGGTGAAGAAGCTGCAGGAGAAAAGTTGGAAGCTAGCAGAGGTTGGTTCATAATGTTTAAGGAAAGAAGTCCATCTCTGTGACATAGAAGTGCAAGGTGAAGCAGTAAGTTTTGACGTAGAAGCTGCAGCAAGTTATCCAGAATATCTAGGATGGATCATTGAGGAAGGTAATTACACTAAACAGTTTTTTGATGTAGAAGAAACAGCTTTCTATTGAAAGAAGATGTCATCCAAACTTTCCTAACTAAAAAGGAGAAGTCAATGCTTGGCTTTAAAGCTGCAAAGAAAAGGCTGACTCTCTCATTAGAGATTAATTCAGCTGGTGACTTGGAATTGAAACCAATGTTCATTAACCATTGCAAAAATCCTAGGGCTCTTCAAAATTATACTGAATCAATTATGCCTGTGCTCTATAAATGGAACAACAAAGACTGGATGACAGCATATGTCTTAAGGCATGTTTTACTGAATATTATAAACCTGCTGTCAAGATCTACTACTCAGAAAAAAAAAAAGATTTCTTTCAAAATATTCCTGCTCAGTGACAATGTATCTGGTCACCCAAGAACTCTGATGGAGATGTGCAAGGACAGTAATATTGTTTTCATGCTTGCTAACATAATATCCTTTCTGCAGCCTATGGATCAAGAAGTAATTTCAGCTTTCAAGTTTTATTATTTAAAAAATAATAGCCTTTTATAAAGCTATAACTACCATAGATGGTCATTTTTCATGGACCTGGGCAAAGTAAATTGAAGATGTTCTGGAAATTATTCGCCATTCTAGGAATCATTAAGAATATTTGTGATTCATGGAAAAAGGTCAAAATATTAACATTAAGAGGAGTTTGGAAAAAGTTGATTCCAACTCTGGTGAACGACTTTGAGGGGTTCAAGACTTCAGTGGAGACAGTAACTGCAGATGTGGTGGAAATAGCAAGATAATTATTATTAAGAGAAGTGGTGCCTGAAGATGTGTCTAAATTGCTACATTCTCATGATAAAACTAAGGAATGAGGAGTTGCTTTTTATAGATTAGCAAGGAAGTGGTTTTTTGAGATGGAATCTATTCCTGGTAACAGTGCTGTGAACTTCGTTGAAATGAAAACAAAGGATTTAGAATATTACATACACTTGGTTGA
The DNA here is from genome assembly GCF_000001405.40 of Homo sapiens. NCBI lineage: Eukaryota > Metazoa > Chordata > Mammalia > Primates > Hominidae > Homo > Homo sapiens. Next base: position 129,921,203 of record NC_000004.12, read on the forward strand.
TAAAGCAGCATCAAGATTTGAAAGAACTCCAATTCTGAAAGAAGTTCTACTGTGTGTTAAATGAATCAAACAGCAGCACATGCTACAGAGAAATCTTCTGTGAAAGAAAAAGTCCATCAGTGAGGCAAACTTCACTGTTGTCTTATTTTAAAAAACTGTCACAGCCACCCCAGTCTTTAGCAACCACTGCCTTGATCAGTCATTTATAGCCGTCAACATTAAGGCAAGATGCTTCACTGGCAAAAAAGTTTATTTGCTGAAAGCTCAGATACCCAATAACATTTGCTGGTAATAAAGTATTTTTAAATTAATGTATATACATTATCTTAGAGACAATGCTATTGCACACTTAATAAGCTGTATTATAAGTAAACATAAAATTTATATGCATTGAAAAGCCAAAAAAAATTGTTTGACTCACTTTACTGCAATATTTGCTTTATTACAGTGGCCTGGAACCAAACAGTAATGTCACCAAGATATGCCTGTATCTTGGTTCTGTTTTCTTGTTGCTTATTCTGAAATGTGGCCCAATGTTGCTGACCAATGTTTTCACCTAGTTTGTCAAAAAATTTCATTGCATCATAGAGACAATTACTTTTCCTCAGACTTTCATTCAATATTTTATCTAAATCAAAGTAGACTTTCACCTGATGAGAGTAGAAGTATGGAAGAACATGCTTGAAAAGGCTAGCAACCCTAATTATCTTATTCCATCTTGTATCTATTAATGAACAAATAGTAGACATAAATATACATATATTATCTATGTATATATACATATATACACATCTATATGCATGTGTTACCTATGTCAATGTATAATCATATAATCTATTCATCTAAAAGTAGGATTATATTCTATTCCTCTGTTCTTTGAGTTCCTTCCTGGTTTTATCAGTGTTTAATGTTTAGTCACTAAAAATTTCCACTGTTCCATGCTGAAATAAAACCAGACAGGAGTTTTGTTTAGTAATTTCACATCAGTTACGGTTACATATTGTACCATTTCCAGTGTATTCTCAGTATTAAAGCAGTTTTTAGAAGTGACAATAGTGTAATTTTTGAATATCCATTTAATTACACATATATGCCTTAATACATTTTATCCTGAATGGAAAAAAATACGTTTGAATAAACACAATAGTTATGTTATCTGAGAAGCGAAGGATTCAAATATTCTTCAAAAAATAAAAACATGTGAAGCGAACCTTCTTTCTTTAGTTTGTCCTTTTGACTCTGATATCTACCTGGTAAGTTTCCTAAAGCTAATGCAATCTTTAACTCTGTATTTTTTTTAGCTGCAATTCTGATTTCTTCATATTTTCTGAAAACTTGAATTCTTCTTTTTTTGTAAAGAATAAGCCTTTAAAATTCCCAACTTTCTAATTTGCAAACCAAAGGAATGAGAACTCTTCTGGAACAGCCAGAGAAATTACTTAATACCTTTAAACGTCAATAGAAAATAAAGAAGACAACAGATATCACGTTCCTTTTGGTGCCTGACAGATATTTAACTGGATAATTTCAAAGTGTTCAACTATAAATAAACAATTCACACTCAATATTATTTTTATTAGATATCAAAGTATACATAGGTGCAGAAAAAAAACATAAATATGCCACAGAGGTTTTTAAAACCATGTGCTTTCTTTCTGGCTACAAGTGTCTGAATTTTTCCAAGTCTATGTTGTTACATAAATGGTTTTTAGGCTAAGTTACATATTTCTTTTGGTTATTTTTAAGAGTGAAAGTTACAAGAACTGATATTTATTGTGTGCTTATTCAGCCATGTATTGTGGTAAGTGCTCTATATGTATTATTTTATTTAATCTCTACAAATTCATGTAGAGGGTACAAATATCATCCCATAGATCTTGTTTTCAAGAAAAATATTCTGGGCTATGGAAGATGTGGACATACAAAAGATTCTGTAAATGTCTTTTCTAGTTTTTTTTTTTTTTTTTTTTTGATACGGAGTCTCACTCTGTCACCAGACTGGAGTGCAGTGGTACAATCTTGGCTCAATGCAACCTCCTCCTCCCATGTTCAAGTGATTCCCTTGCCTCAGCCTCCTGAGTAGCTGGGACTACAGGAATGCGCCACCACGCACGGCTAAGTTTTGTAATTTTTTGGTAGAGACAGGGTTTCACCGTGTTGGCCAGGATGGTCTCGATCTCCTGACCTTGTGATCCACCTGCCTCGGCCTCCCAAAGTGCTGGGATTACAGGCGTGAGCCACTGTGCCTGGTCTCTGTAAATATCTTTTCTTACAAAATATTACTTCCAGATTCCAGGTGTCAAAGCATAATTTTCACAAGTTAGAAATACAAATACAAAATGGATGTTTTGTACAAATACAAAACCAAAATACAAATATAAAATGGATGTTTCTCAAAGATTTATTAACTCATTAATGATTGAATGCATATATGTGTAATTAAATGGATATTCAAAAATTACACTATTGCCACTTCTAAAAACTGCTTTAATACTGAGAATACAATGGAAATGGTAAAATATGTAACCGTAACTGATGTGAAATTACTAAGCAAAAATCATGTCTGGTTTTATTTCAGCATGGAACAGGGTAAAGTTGTTTCCGAAAGTATTTTGAGGAACTCAGAATTTACAGGGATTTTAAAGTTTAAATATAGAATTGGTTAAGGTCTGACAGAACAGTAAAAACTATATGTTGGAGATAATCTTTTTAAAATGAATATTCCTTACATCTTTATCAAACAATAAGAAGTTAATGTATAACTTTGAAAGTCTGAACTCTTTAATTAATGGTAAAATTCAAACAGAAATGCATTCCCCTACATGATTAAATAATCTTTGAGTGAGCTTAATAAACAATGTTTCCGTACTCTCTTGACCTTATTTTTTTTGTTTTTCATAATTTTTCTTTACACAATTTTCAGCCCTAACTCTTGGCACCTTGTTTGTGGTTCTGATGTCATTCACGCTCTGAGGCTTGCTTATCCTGCAATCTTTCTATTTAAGCCTTCTTCACTTTCTGATATTCTATAATTCCCCTACAAAATGTAAGTATGGGTTTTTCTTTATCATTTCTCTTTAGAACTTTCAGGGCCCTTTCAAACTGGGACATCAAATAATCTGGAAAATGTATATTCATTATTACTTTGAGTATTTATTACTCTTCATTTTTATTTCTTATGTTTTTGAAATAAATATGTTATCTAAATATTAGCACTTTGGTTTCTAATATCCCTATCTCTTAGCTTATCTTTTAATCTTTTACATTTTTAAAATTATTTCTTTTTCTGAGAAGTTTTCTTGAGCTGATCTTCCCATTTACTAATACATTTCTCATCTCTAACCATATAACTTAATTCTACCTATTTTATTTATCTATTGTATATGATATATTCTCTTTATTTAGTATTTTTTCCTACTCTTGCTGCATTTTTATATTATCTTTCCATTTCTTTTTTAGTTTATTATTTGACCAGTTTTAAATCTTGATAAATATGTTTTAATAACTCTACTTCTGACAAAACCAGTAGCGTCTTTCTCAAGTGTCTTGTTATTTATATCTAGGAGTTTATTTTCCCTTAGGAATAAAAGCGACTCTGTCAATGCTTATGGAGGAAAGTCAGAAATCAAGTGTCAACTCCAATACGCTAAAGGAATTTTGGGGGAAATGTGGATGGATGAGCCCCAGAGGGGAAAACCCCAATTATCAATAAGCCATTAATAATGGCTGACCCCATTAAACAAATCCTTAGGTAAATGGTTTCACGCTTTGACTCCCAAGAAGAATTAGCTTTAGAATCGAGGATCTCTGCAATAGATACGAATCCACCAATCAGGGAGTTTGAAGGAGAAGGTATAGGAAAGTAGCTTTCCAAATTTATTCCCCATTTTGTCAGCTCCCCCATAAGCACAGGATTTCTGTGTTGTTCCGATTTTGTTCTTGAAGATACTTGTATCAGAGCTCTGAATAGTCATAGGTGAGGACAGGAACCTTTTGTTTTAATGTAGTTTCAGGAGAGAAACAGAAGCAGAGCTCCCATAGATCCTTTCTATTTTTTATGGGCTGACTTCTGCCCAATCAAAGCCACCCCCTCACTCTTACCAGTTCAAACTTCTCTCTGTCACCGCAAAATTTTCTGTATTTCCAGTTGTTTTGATTTGCTTTGTATTTTTACTTCTATGGTTAACTGTCATGTTAAATTTAAAATAATACTTTTTATTCCAATTATACTAGTTTTACTATGAAATAAACAGTATAAAGTAAAAAAATACAGTTTAAGCACAAAAATTCATTATACAGTTTCTATGAAACGAAATCATAGTTCTTTTAATGGAGTTGTTCTACAATCTACACATATTTCTTTGCATTATTTTAAGTGAATTGCATGGGGGGAAAGGAAGACCTAAATATCTTTCTATCTTGATTTTTTGAATAGTGGCTATAACCACATTATCATTTGAAAATACTCTATTTTGCAAGGTCAGGAAATGTAGCAAAAATCTTTAACATTAATTTAGAACTAGTTGAAAGGCAGCAAAATCTAGGCCTTTCATCTATTCTTGAATGATTTCTTATTCAAACTCAGCTGGAGTTCTCAGAGCAGAATGTTCTGCTTTCTTGGATCCTCAGTCAAGGAAACCTTTAACTCACTCTATTTCATAATAAATCCAGGTAGAGCCAGTTATGACAAAATACATGATGGTGTGCCCTACTTTAATAGTGGATGGCTTTCAATTCTGCTGTAATGTATGTTCTCCATTCATTGATTTATTTCAAGTAAAAACAAGTAAAACAATAAGCTAACTATATATCTCCTGAATCAATTTTAAATATATTTAAGCTATTCTAAGCAATTTTAGGTTAAAAAAAGTCTGCTGTTTGCGAAGACTATGAGCAACTGAGTTACATAGTTATTGTTACAAAAGGGTCATAGCTCAGCTTTTGTGTATTAATTATTTTGCCAGCTATTATTATGAATGGCCAAAATGTGTGTATGTTCTTTTTTTCTTTTTTTTTTCAATTTGTAAAACATGCACAGCATGTGGTTATCTGAAAAACTGATATAAGTACTCAAGACTTTTGTAGAAAGATAATACTGTACTTTAAAGTTAAATTTTAATTGTAAGCTCCACATCTTAGAAAATGGAAGAAAGATAAATTAATAACATACTTCTACAGAATTAAATTGGGAAGTGAAATGCATTTGGTATGCGAGACGATTACTACTACCTATGGGAAGACTTGGTTATTACCATCCATAGGATGATAGTTACTGTTTATCAGGATGCTACCCTCTAGAGCTACTAGTTCATTGGGAGTACTGATGTAAATTTTTGATCTTTTTATAACAGCACTAGATGTGTTTCTTATATCAACTCTAGCAGAAGCAAAAAAATTTCCAAAAAAAAAAGATGTGAATGAAAATGGTTTGATCCACAAGTACTTCAAGTACCATTGTTCTTTTGTGTTTCAGGTTATAATGCATGTCCTTAACACACATCCTATTTTTCGCATAATGTAATAACAACACTGCTGTTACATAGTGATTGGTATTATAAAATGTGCTGTGAGATAAATGCTGTTATTATGAAAATCCTATTAGCAAGTCCCTATGTACTGTACATGCAGGGCCGATTTATTAACATACCCTCTGTAGTCACTTTCCCAAAAACAGTTTTACCAGCTATGAAATACTATGCAATAATGCCATTAATAAATGTATCTAATTGCAGTATATAAAAGTGAAACATTGAATAGCTTGAAATGGTTGCTGTGAATGGTGAGATTATTTCAAGTAGATGTATTGAGTAAAGGATAACTATGCTTCCCCTTTTTTATACTGCCACATGTCAAGTAATAGATCATTTAAGTGCATAGTCAGACAGCTGGGCTAACAAGAAAAAGTTGGTTCTTTTATAAAAAGCTGTCAGTAGATGGCAATGTGACTGTTTTATAAGGCATTTTTATTCCATATGGAACTACAAACTTGAGATCATTCACATTTGCTACCTAAATTACTGTAATTTTCCCCAAAAAAAGAGCTCCAAGAGCCCTTTTAAACTATTCTTTAAATAATTGATAGTTACAAATGAAAAGCCAAGCCTAGAATTTCCAAAGTGATCAAAGTTGTTTTAATTTTCCATTGGTCAGGGTTGAATAAAAATAATGTTACAAACTATACCATCAATAACTAGGAATTGCAGAACCTCCATTTCAAACTGAAGTACTTTTAGCAAATCCACATCATACCCTCACTTAAGCACTGCAGCCAGCTATGGCCCAGTGGTGCTGCACTATTAATACAGACCCAGAGGAATGCTGTTGCATTGAGAAAAGTTATTTTGGTATGTTTTCACTCTTTCTTTTATCCTTCCACCCTTCTCCAAATAAATAACCTTTGATGTTTCTAGTGATGTGTTATGTAAATACACATGCATATATAATAACATATAATATTAAATATGCCTTAAAATTTAAAGCATCCTAGGCAGTCTTCATATACTTCAAAGGCCATGGCTTCTGAACTCATTGCACAGTATAAAAACTAAAAAGGAATAATAAATTCTGGAGAGAAATTCTAAGAATTTTAACTAATGGGAAAATTCTGAGAATGAAAAAATATGTTAAAACTCTTGAATAAATTCTCACAGAATATACTAAGATATTATTCAGTTCTACAGAATTATTTCAATGTATTGAACCTTAAACTTGTGATTCCATTTTGGGTTATGCGAGGAGTTAAGAGATACACAGTAATTCCGCCTTATGTGTGGTTTTGCTTCCGACTGCTTCAGTTACTCATGGTCAGCTACAGTCTAAAAATATTAAATGAAAATTTCCAGAAATAAGGAATTCATACATTTTACTTTGCACACCTTTCTGAGTAGTGTGATGAAATCTCGTGCTGTCCCACTCTGTCTTGCCCAGGATACGAATCAACACTTTGTCCAGTGTAGCCACATGTGCATGCTCCCAACTCATTTGCCACTTAGTAGCCCTTTTGATGATTAGGTCTACTGTGGTGGTATTGCAGTGTTGGTGTCAAGTAACCTATATTGTACTTAATAATGGCCCCAAAGTGCAAGAGTGATGATGCTGGCAATTTGGAGTGCTGAAGAGAATATTTAAAGTGCTTCCTTTAGGTAAAAAGCTGAATTTTTTTCTTTTTTTTCTCTTTTTTTTTTTTTTTTTTTGAGATGGAGTCTTGCTCTGTTGCCCAGGCTGGAGTGCAGTGGTGTGATTTTGACTCACTGCAACTTCTGCCTCCCAGGTCCAAGCGATTCTTATGCCTAGCCTCCCAAGTAGCTGGGATTACAGATGTGGAACACCACGCCCGGCTAATTTTTGCATTTTTGTTTTTTATAGAGATGGGGTTTCATCATGTTGACCAGGCTGGTCTTGCCCTCCCGACCACAGGTGATCTGCCCGCCTGAGCCTCCCAAAGTGCTGGGATTACAGGCATGAGCCACCACGCCTGTCCAAAACTTCTTGACTTAATAAAGAAAGAAAGAAAGAAAAAAAAAAAAAATCCTGTGCAGAGGTTGCTAAGAACCTTGGTAAGAATCTTCTATCTATAAAATTGTGAAGAAGAATAAAAAAATTTTTGCTAGTTTTGCTGTCACACTTCAAACTGCAAATGTTAAACAAAAGTGCATGATAAGTGATTAAAGATGGAATGGGCATTAAATTTGTGGGGAGAAGACATGAACAGACAACGTGTTCCAATTGGTGGCAAGGTGTTCTTCCAGAAAGCACTGAATGTACACAGACATCAGCAAAGAATTCCCTGAAATGAGTGACACCAACCTAGTTATTGGAAGTAGGGAAAGCCTACACAGATTCAGGAAGAAGAAGAGTCTAAGTACAGCACATTATTTTGACAGAGGGAGAGACCATATCACATAACTTTTATTTTACTATATTGCTATAATTGTTCTATTTTATTATTATGGTTAATCACTTATTGTGCCTAATTTATAAATTAAATTTCATTATAGGTTTGTGTGTATAGGAAAAAACATAGTATATACAGGATTCGGTACTACAGGGGGTTTCAGGCATCCACTAGGGGGCCTTAGACCCTATCACTTGATAATGGGGATGAGTGTATTATCAGGAATGAGAGTCTATGAAGGGGCAATGTGGTATAATGAGGAAACATTATTCAGTTAAGAAATGTAGGTACTAGTCATAGTTTCATCTACAAAAAGTCCATTAAATAATCTGGGTTGCCATTTTATCTGTAAGAAGAATGAAATTAACTCATAGATATCTAATATTTCTTCAGTTTTCCTTAGCAACCAAAGGCCTCACCTCACTTTGATCAGTAAGGTACCTAAAAAAAAGATAAATCCTGGGGATCCTATTCAGTTCAGAATCTCTAAGACTTGATTAGATTTCTCCCCAAATGAACTACTCATCAGTTCAAATCTCAGAAATCAATAATTACAAGGGTGGCTTCTTTTTCCCCCCATAATTCCTTAGCTTAAGTCTTGAATATGGTAAAGGAAAATTCATAAACTGCAAAGGATCCTTGGATCCGTAACAGAATAACTTTGACAGTGTTTAAATTAAGAATAGCATTGAAACCACATTTGCAAAATTATAACTGAGGAAATTATGTCAGTGAAAGAGATCAGACCTAACCGACCCCATCTTCCTTTTAACCTCTAAACTTTCTGTTCATTCCTGGGTGTAGGCCAAACTGGTCTAGGGAAGGAATTTCGTTTATAGTTTAAACTCTGAAACAAAACGGATAATAGCTCTTTCCCGAAAAATCCCATCTTGCCTGGGGAGCAGTCTGCCTTTGTAGGACTAACAAGTTAGCTAAAAGACTGGATATCTCACGGGTTGGGGGCCATGCAGCCCCTGGCTGCAAGAGTCTAGAACTCCCCAAATTCCTCCTAGGAGTAACATCACTATTGCAAAACCTAAGATCAGTGCTTGAGATATTTTGCAGACCCTGCATTCCGATGCAGCAGATGACACCACTCAGACTGATAATCTGGCTCAACCAGTTCTGCGATCCCACCCAGAACTCAGCAAGAACTCACTTCGACCCCCTATGATTTCATCTTCAACCCCACCAGTCAGCACTCCCCACTTTCGGAGCCCACACCCGCCGAATTATCCTTAAAAACTCTGGTCCCCAAATGCTCCAGGAGACTGATTTGAGTAATAATAAAACTCCGGTCTCCGGCATAGCTGGCTCTGCGTGAATTACTCTTTCGCCATTGCCTTTCTCCTGTCTTGATGAATCGGCTTTTTCTAGGCAGCAGGCAAGGTGAACCCCTTGGGCGGTTACAGCATCTCTTGTGGAAATAATGAATATAATTTCAAATTTGCTTATATTTAAGAATTAAGGGACATAGTAAACTTGCTTTTTAAGTTTGATTTTAATAATTCTTAAAAAATCAGTACTTCTCTTTTAATGATTTATTTTCAATAAATCTTAGTAGTTTGTATTGTTAGGACAAATGCATACTAAAAATAAGAGGTTTGATTTTTTCCTGTTAGAAATGAAAGATTTTTATCTCTTCTTTGTTTTTTCAGAGCATTTTAGCTTGAAAAAAAATGTGTATTTTCTCAACTCTTTGAAATGCATATAAATCCTTTTGAAGACTACATAGGCCTTTGTTGGCCTTTCATGACCCAATAATGTCTTTCTCAAGAGCCTGGGAGCAATTTCTTTAATATACAACCATCCAGGAAGATAGCACCCCTATCTGCCAGTTTCTGCGGATGGATAGGAACCTAGCTTTCATGGAGATCACCTTGCCCCAAGTTGCAAAACTACCTACTGTCATAAGAAAATGGTGTGTGTGTGTGTGTGTGTGTGTGTGTGTGTGTGTGTGTGTGTGTGTATGTATGTACGTTTTCAGGTAAAACTATTTAGCTAACACAGGCAGACATTTTAATTACCACGTAAAGTTAAGGTGGGTTATGTATGACAAATGATGTTTTCAAGTCCTCTTATTTGAGAGCTAGTTATTGTGTATCTTGAAAACATATAGGTAATGGGTTGTATCTTCTTGGCTATCTATTAATAAAGAGTGAGATTTCTGTTTTTATAATCTCCTAGCAGATTGCCTGTGATGCTCATTACAGTCTAGTGTAATGTTTACATATACAACGATAAAAAAGGTTTTCTTTCTCTACTACCTTTCTGCAGAGGATTTCTGAACTGGGATAAAATTTTGTTTTCAATTCTATTTCCAAAAAATATTTAACGAGAATTCAGATTTGCTTTTCTTGCTTTGGATTTTCTTCCTATCAACTCAATTCAACTTTAACTATTCCCCTGGGCAAGAATCATATTTCTATACTAGTTACCAATTCCTATTGATACAGTTGCAATTTATCCTCATGATGTTTTATTCTTTATTGAAGGTAATTGTACTCTTTGTAGTATGACACTTTCTTGAAAATAAAGCAATCAAGCAAGATATAAAGAAATAAGCTAACAGGGAAATGTTAATACTTTTTAAAATAAGGAAGCAAACCCTTTAGATGAATTTTCACCTAAAAAATATTTGAAGTTGTAGATGAAATGTTTTAGTTAATCTGAATAGCTTTGTTTGCCGATATTTGTGGTTAAACGGGTGTTAAAAAGAAATGTAAAGCAAATATAATACTAGTCAGAATTCTATCATTCCATTTGTGAAGAAAATTATACTAACCATTAAAAAGGATTTATGCATATTTCCTATTAAAATAGAACTTTCTCTTCAAGGAAAACATGAGAAGACAGAGACTTTTGGATTTCTTTTGGAAGTAGACATTAAAATAATTAAGATCTATATATTTTAAAGTATCTTTCTTTCAAATATCCTTGAAGTTGGTCTTTAATCAGTAGTTTCATTAGACATTTCTCCATCTGCCATCATCACATGCGTATGCAAGTGAGAAAACTTGTTCTGTGAAGTGATACTTTAATATTATTTTTAAATCAAGTGTCTAGATGGAAGGTTATACATCTTCAATTTTGCAAGATTTTCTTAAACACTGACTAAAACACAAAAATATATTTTTGCTGTATAAATGACAATATTTCCACCTTGTAAAAACATAGGCAATTTTTTACTATATTAAATAGATTTTGAATGACCATAAAACATTCATAATATTTTTCTAAGTTTTATTCTTGCTGTATTTGGGGTATAAATTCTATACAGAAACATGAAAGTTCATTGACTCGCCCTTCATTTTTTTAATAGAGTTTCGATATGAATCTTAAAGCATAGATTTGGTTTTTCAAGAAGAGGGAGTTAAAAGAATAGCATCTATAATCTGGGTATTCTTAATATCTGAACTCCACACTAGCTAGGCCTACTAAATGATTAGTGTTGAAGGTTAGATTGCACGTCATTCAAAAGACAATTTTCTCTGAACTGGCAATAATATCATAGACTGGCCTAAGACCTCAAAGTCATAAGTTATTATCAATCTGTCTTCAGAAGAGATGTTAGCTTACAAAAAATCTCTGAAGTTAAAGGAAAAGAATCAACTTGCATGAAACATATATTAACTCCCTTGTTTGAGGGACAGTATACAGCAAATTTTCTATACACTTATTGTTTCTGGACAATTCCATGATGAATCGATTGTGAAACTCATTACATTTTGGAGATTGACATTTAAACTCTGATTGAGACCAAGTATATTTTCTGCATGCAATCAGACTTCATTGATGTCTATACTATTCTAAGTATTATGCCAGGTACTATTCAGACGCTAGATAAAAGACTGTTAGGTTATACCATTGAAAATAAAAGCTTCTTGACTTCTCAATATATTTATTCTGATTTACTTACTTAGATTTTTAGATGTAGCTTTTATGTCATACTGAGGAGGAAATATCTGAAGGCTAAATGGAATTGTAATCCTCCAGAGTTGAAAGCATGCTAAGAAACTTTTAGTTGATTTCTTCCTTCAGTCAGGACTACACTATCTCAGATATGCAAAAATAATTCCAAGAATATTTTTAATATACAACAATTGTTTTACAGTATAAAAACCCTGAATCTAAAAAAATGTGGCTACACAACTAAAACATTTACTGAAGAAAATATTTTATCTTAGATGAGTAGAGTTTTCTGACAGCTTTTTTGATGACATCTAGGACAGTTAAGTTATGACCCTCAATTTCTGGCTTTCCTATTTGAATAAATACTTTTTTTCTTATGATTTTACTCTTTGGAAGATATGCTTAAATTAGCTTTAAGTACACATATATGTCAAAATAATATCTTGGTTTCTAATCATGTTCAGGTAAATATATATTGCATTTCTCAGAAATTCATTTAAGCTTTTTAGCTTGTTTTTTGTGACTTAAAGGGTCTTTTACTAAAAACACAAACAAAAAACTAGTATTTGCCTCATTAAATTTTTTTTTAAAAAACTAAAATACTCCAGAGCTTAGGTGTATAGTTTTAAGTTCTGTAAATTAAGATATTATTTGGCAGCAAACATTTTTTATTTGTTCAGCTAGATCTATTTATTTTATAACCAGCACTTTTAAATTTATCATTGTTATAAGATTTCATATATTTAAAAATTACTCTTACTCTGATTTATAGCCAGAACAATAATAAAATCACTCTTTTTCTGTAACATCTTCAACTAAATTTTATGTTCTGATACTATTTCTCTTTGGAGGACAACTTAGTTTTATGCGTCATCAACATGCAATAACTGGATAAATAATTGTTTATTTAGATCTAACTTACTTCCATAGAAATTGTGGCAAAATAAAGAGAAAATTGGATTGCTCAAATGAAAAAATTATTAGTAGTTTTGTGTGTTGTGAACTCCAAGAACCATTGTGGGGATTATTATTTAGATCCAGTGGTATTTGTTCCTGAGTTTGCAGTGATTTCCACAGTACTCCACAGGGTGGGTTTTTAAACAATTTTATATATTTAATTGTTTCATTTCATATGTATTTACGGTAACAATTGGTATTTATTAGCAATGGCCAGGTGTCTATTACGCCCAAAGTTTAGGAATACTTAAACATGGCTGTATCCTTTTTTAAAGTTGCATAAAAAGGTCCTTATATACAGGTATTTGTCCTGATAGAAAATAATTGATTAATAATGTACAAGGGGATAGTAGCAGCTGCATGGTAAACAAGGAAGTTCAGGAATAGAACACTTTAAGTAAGAGAGGAAAACTGTGGGCTTGGGAATTTCTGTGTCTAAAATGAGCATAGATTTTAAAATCTATTCATGTGTTTAAATGTCATAATATTATTGATATTCATATCTTAACCAGATATGCATTCCACAGCTAATATTTACACTATGATTTCATTATTACTTTCACAATTTATATTATTAGGTTGTTCCAAAAGTTATCGTGGTTTTAACCAAAAGAATAGCAAAATGCAATTAGTTTTGCACCAACCTAATATTCATTTTAAAGGTCATTGTATGTGGATTATAAGATATTTTTATAGCTTCCATTCTGCATTTTGCTAATGCACGTTTATATAGGTGAACAGAAAACATTCTCTCTTACTGGTATCTAATGCTAACATATTTTAACGGTAAAATTTGAGAAAATTAACTAAGATTTTGCACAGAACTAAGATCTTTGAAAACAATATTTTATTAAATGTATCATGAATCTACACTACAAGTACACAGTCTATCATCCACAACTCTGAAATCCAAAAAGCATCAAAATCACAAATCTTTTGGAAAACTACTTTTTTTTTTAACATAACCTACCTTTCCTGAATAAATGTATTGCTATTTATAGTGTTTATCTAGCTTAGAGTGATATGCATACATTTTGCTGCATATATATTAAGGTTTGATTACTATGTGAAGTGCTGATCCTACTGTGAGAATTACACAATACACAATATATGCATCAAATTAACCTTATAAAACTTGACAAATTTAGAATTATTAACATATCTAGCCCCAAGAGTTTTGGATATAGAACTGGGACTTGTGTTATTTAAACCAAGGTGAGATTTTAAAATCCTCTGTTCTGAAGTTGCATATCTTAAATTATTTGTGCACTATCAATTTGCTGTGAAGGTCATATAGAAAAGCAAATATTAAGGCTGAAACGTACTTAGAACTCATGCACTTCAATACTGCCTTTTTAACACAAAAACATATGGCCAATAAAACAATTGCTTTGTTTGAAATCACACTGCCAATAAGTGAATGATACAAGGACTGAATCCAACTCTATGTTCTATTATCACCCATTTAAACAAAATTCAGGTGAGCACTTGTTTTGTTTTGTTTTTGAGACAGACTCACTCTGTCGCCCAGGATGGCGTGCAGTGGTGCAATCTCAGCTCAATGCAGCCTCCACTTCTGGGGTTCAAGAGATTATCTTGCCTCAGCCTCCTGAGTAGCTGGGATTACAGGCACATGCCACCACACCCAGATAATTTTTTTTTAATTTTTAATAGAGATGGGATTTTACCATGTCACTCGGGCTGGTCTTGGACTCCTGGTCTCAAGTGATCCACCTGCCTCGGCTCCCAAAGTGTTGGGATTACAGCCATGAGGCACCACACCTGGCCTGGTGAGCACTTTTATATGCTAGGCATTTCTATATGGGTGATAGTTGACACCTTAAACTCAGCATACCCAACACTTGACGTGCTTCATCTTCCCCAATTCTTAAACGTCCTCTCAGGGTCCATTCTGGTTACAGGCATCACCACCCTACCAGGCACTCATTTTTAAAACTTTCATATTGCTTGTGGTCTCTCTTCTTTCTTTGGGTCCATATCCACTCAGCTGATGAGTACACTCAATTCTATCTCCTTGTTTCTTTCCCTCATTTCTTCTCACTCTTGTTGACATTGCTTCACTTAACACAGGGCTAAGTAGTTTATTGTCTGGATTATTGCAAGAGTGTAAGAGCTGCCTCTAAGGATCCCTACCTACAATCTCTTCATTATCCTCACAGTCATCAACAACTCACATTGACACCTCAGAGAGCAAAATTCTGGCAATGGGTCATCCTTCAATGAATAAGTAGTCATTAAAATTCTACTATATGCAAAGCAACATGCCAGCTATTTTGAAGCATTCAAAGAAAGGTAAGGCAGAATTTCTCGCCTTGTCAGAATTAGCTTAGCATCACTAAATTAGACCATCTACTTTAACCAGCACTCCAATGAATGAATCAATCAACAACAACAACAAATAGCTCTATAGGATACATGCCTTGTAAAACTACGTATGTGAAAGAAAATTCTCCCATAATACCTGTGGGCTTCTTGAATGAAAATATAGTGGATATTCACAGTGTTTAATTCCCATAAACTAAGTTTACCACGGAAGTCTTTCTCAGAGAAATCGAAATGGCCCAAAAAGTTAAAAAATAATTTTAAATATTTGTATAACTAAGGGGTTGTTATCAAAGGGTAGATATCTCTAGTGTTTTGATTTTTGATATATTCTAATGTACCTAAAAATCTCAATGTAAAGAAAGAAAGATGAACGGAAATAAGCTTCCATTGCTAATAATAATTATTACTATTATAAAACATAAAATTCTATCTCAGCAGTGGGCAGGAGAAACTGGGCAGACTACATTGCAGTTAGAAAATACTTTCCTTTATGGCTTTTATAAAAAATACAAAAAATAACAAGTGATGGTGAAGGTGTAGATAAAAGGGAATCCTGTACACCGTTGGTGAGAATGTACATTGGTGCAGCCACAATGGAATACAGTATGGAGGTCTGTAAATACATTTAAAGTAGAACTATCATGTGACCCAGCAATCCGTCTGCTGAATATATACAAAAGGATATTAAATCAGCACCTTGTAAAGACATCTTGTAAAGACACCTTGTAAAGCCAAGATAAGAAAACAAACTAAGTGCCCATCAAGGAATAAATGGATAAAGAAAATGTTATGTAAATAACAGAATATTATTCTGCCTTAAAAAAGGAAATCCTCCCATTTTTAACAGCATGCATGAACCTAGAAGACTTTTTTATAAGTGAAATAAGCCAGACACAAAGGAAAGGATGAAAGAAAAAATGATACATGATCTCGCTTACATGTGGAATTAAAGAAAAAAGAGAAAGATTGAATACATAGAAGCAGAGAGTAAAGTAGTGGTTGGGAGGTGGTGAAAGGCAGCGAGAAATAGGAAGACATAGGTTAAAAGCTATGAAGTTGCAGTTATGGTGGTAAATATGTCTAGAGACCTAATGTACAACATGAGGACCATAATTAATATATACTGTTATGTGCTGGTAATTTGGTAAGAGAGTAGATTTTAGGTACTCCACTGTAAGAAGGGTAACTGTATGAGATGATTAATATATTAATTTGCCTGACTGTAGTAATCACTTCATTATGTATGTGTATGTTAAGAATATCAAAAGACGATGTTATACACCTTAAATGTATACAATACAGAAAGAATTTTTTTAATGAGTTGTCATAGTCCTATTTCTGAGAATTATATTTTTCCTTTAGAAATGTGTGTACACATGCACATGTGTTTACTTGCTTTGTGTTAAGTCCTAGTTAACTTACAGTCAAAAAGAATGAGCCTGCATATCTACTTTTTTTGGCAGAGAAAATTCAGAGAGCTATACTTGAAGGGCTTAAGTTGAATAACAGAATAAGCTGCAGCATATACATTCATGCCTAAGGGTGAGCTTGAACTGCAACAACCCTAGGGGTTTCTTTAAAGACAGGTAAAGATTCAATGCTAAGGAATTTTGAAGAAGGAGGCAGTATTTCCATAGGTGGCATAGCTAAAGACATTACAAAGGGCTAGAAATTAATGTATATGTAAGTGCATCTGTTTTAAAGATCTACTTTTTTCCCTTTCAGTTGTTCCCCAAGACAGTCATATTAATAGCCATTAATATGAACATTATGTTCATTAGCATAAAACATTGCCATTCCATGTTTTATTTCTCTTTTGGTAGCTCAACAATTCAATAAGTCTGATGCAGTCACACAGTCTTTGGGTTTTTACATTTTGGGGAATAAATGAGCAGTGACCCCTGCAAAGATTGAGACAATAAGAAAGATAAGATTACATAATAGAAAGAAAAGTCATACCTGGGAATGCCTGCTTATTTCTCTCGTCCTATGGAGGAAGTTCAGAGTCTACACTTTTAATGAATACTGTGCAATATAGCATTATGATGACTACAGCATTGAGAATAACAATAGTACCTACTTATTATTGCAAAATTACATTCAATTAACACATGTAAATTCCTTAGAACATTTCTAGCATATAGTGAATATTACAACACTAATTATCATTTTAAGTTACAATAATAATATCATTTTCTAATGAGGATTAAATATAATTTAGTGATGCCTGAAAATTACTTAGCCCATTACAAGTGCTTTTTTCTTTTTCTTTTTTTTCTTCTCCTTCTCCTTCTCCTCCTCCCCTTTTTCTTCCACCTGTTCCTCCTGTGCCTCCATCTCTTTCTCCTGATCTTTCTTGTTCTCCTTCTTCCTGTATCAGCTATAAAGCACAGTTTAAAAGAGGGAATTAAAATTGGTCCCGTTATGTGAATATAGGAAGATTTAATCTTCATTTGTATCTAAAGTGTCTGTCTTCCAGTACTGTGGCCTCATAGTGCCCTTGATCCATATTCTTTGATTGATGAGAGAGTCAGAGGGATTAAGCACCATCTATGTGTTAAAGTATATCACAAATTGAAAGAAAAATAAATTATTTTACGGTTTTATATGCACAAGACACTGTGGAGGCACATTTTATGGTATGATCAAGTTCAGTTATTCTAGATGTGTCCCTTACTTACAACTCTAGTAACCATGTGAAATAAAAGGGAGATGTGTTTAGTTTAATGCAAATCTACCGTATATTATGAGCATTACTACTACATTTAAACAATTTCACGAAATTGTGTACTACTGTAATTGTAAATATTATATGTCTTGCTAAAGTTGAAAGAAAAAATATCTAAGCCTGAAGAGATTAAATAACTTTTTCCTAAGATCTAGAATCTGACACTACCAAAGAAAATTAAATAAGATGGGAGAGCAAATTAAAAGTATCTGCAGGGAAAAATACTTTTCTTAGTGTGTCTTTAATTTTTTTGGAATAGGGTCAGGTAAAATATTTTCCTTTAATATATGTGTAACTGAAAAGCTTAGCAACTTAGCCTCAAACTGCATTTTCAAACTTTTTTTTCCTTTCCCCTTTCCACCTAACCCTAACCCAGTTTCAAGATGTAGCTCTGAGATAAACCTTACAACCCCGAAATGTTTTCTTTCCCTTCCCTTTTCCACTTTATGCCCCCATGACTTATGCACATTTATTTACCTAGATTTTTTTTAAGCACACACCATACTCACTTATATAGTCATCTATTTCCTTAGAAGCTTCAAGGGTCAGATCCTGATATGGACAAGACACCGCTGAATTCTCTCTCCAACAAAAGATTACTTCAATGCAGGAACCAACTCCCAGCTGAAGATTGATTACAATATTAGCTATGATTGGCGGGACACTGTGACTCACGCTTGTGATCCCAGCACTGTGGGAGCCTGAGGCAGGTGGATCACCTGAGGTCAGGAGTTCGAGACCAGCCTGGCCAACATGGTGAAACCTTCTCTACTAAATACAAAAAATTAGCCGAGCGTGGTGGTTCATGCCTGTAATCCCAGCTACTCGGGAGGCTGAGACAGGAGAATCGCTTGAACGCAGGAGGCGGAGATTGCAGTGAGCCGAGATCACGCCACTGTACTCCAGCCTGGGTCCATCTCAACAACAACAACAAAATAAAAAAAAAAATAAATGAAAGATTGACTATAATTAATTTATAACCTGGTAGGACCATGATGGTGCCAGCCCTTTCACCAGATGGAACAATAACGCAAGATGAGCCATCTGAGCGAGTCACACCACTTGGCACCTCGTAGTACCTACCTGCGACCCTTTCTCTAAAAACCTCTGCATTCCCTCTACAAGTTGAAGAATGGAGTTGTTTTCTGCTCTTCCCCTTGCTGGCACAAATAAAAAGTCTTGATCTCTCTCTTTTTTTTTTTTTTTTTTTTTTTTTTTAATCACATCTATTATTATTTTGGCTTCTTTCTAAAAGTGGTGAGCGGTCAGACTCTTTTGCTGGTTACATACGGATTTTCATTTTGGAGTTTCAGGCTCATTCAAAACTACAGAAATTTACAAGTAACAAAGAGAGAGGAAATCCATAAATATCTTGATAATTAAAGCTTTATGAAATAAACTCAAGAAAAATATAATTTTAGACCTTCCAAGCTAATTTAACAAGTTTAATTTATTATACTTTTTTGGCTCTCAAGCAAACTGTTATAAATAGAGTAAGAGGTCAAAGAAAAATATTGCTAAAAAATTCTTATTCCCCTTCTTGCATCCCCTACCTGGATTAATGTCACTACCATCTACCTGCGCAATGGGGACCAGAAATATGAAAGCTCCTTTCATTTCTCTTATCATAAGTATCTTGGAAAATGCCTTTTTGAAATAGGTACTCAATAATATTTTTGAAATGAATGAGCAGATGAATGAATAGAAAGCTACTGAGAATTTACTGTTTTAATTAAAAACTAGAGAAGAAGAGTCTATCACTTTTTAAAATTGTCCTAAAAATTTTGGAATAAAAAGATCCCCAAGAAAATACTTTCTTCTTCAGTTGAGTAAGTACATCAGGTAATCTATATAAACCAATGGATACTGTCTACACTGCATTCTAAGCTCCCTTCTCCTTCTCTTTATAATGCTTCACTCAGCAAAGTATTGTGATACCAAGATGAATGTAATGACATTTTGTGACATATTGTCAATAAAAATGCATTCTCGGTTGAAGCGACACTATACAAGTACAGTTTAGAGGAAGAGGTACAGACACTTCAAACAAGCAAAAGAAATATAACATATGGCAGTGAGAATATTTGTAACTTTATGTAGGGTAAGAAAATATTTTTTCTATTCTCTATTCCTTTCTTCCTTGTACTAGAACTACACTTACTAAATTATGTAAGTCTTCATATAACTCTTTGAAAGCAAAATCTTAAGTATTTTAACAAAATCCATTCAGCTACAATCAACTCTTCTATTTTATTGTTTAATTAGAAGGTACTTCTGACACATCTAATCCAAAGCTCTCATTAAGTACTAGCAATAAAAGCTTTAATGTCAATCACATAGAAACTATGTGAATTTGACAAATTCTTTTAAACTATCACATAAACATATTAAAAACACGATTTCACGACCAAGAAATTTAAATAAGATGAAACAATTTTTATTTATGTAAACAGAGAAACTACATTAAAAATTAAACACCACCCAAATCATTATTGTTAACAATGTACTTCGCTTACACATGAACTAAAAGATTACATATTTTTTTATACCAAGTGTTTATTCATAGAAATAATTTGTTCCTGTCATTTAAAACCCTCAATCAAGTTTTACAATATTTTCTTTACCTAAAATTTAATTTAGATTGATAAAAATAGTGTATCTGAAAGGAAAACATGGTTAGCAGTAGAATTCAAATTTTAATAAATTCTTTTGGCTCTTATCTAAAAATATCATGGAATAAAATAATTTATATCAAATGAGCAATAGCTTCCCACATGGATTTAGTTTATCAATTACATTTGTAGCCCAATAATCCAATCTTGAGTCACTTTGCTAATATATGTATATAATTTAAGGAATTTAAATTATTTCCCTAGTTGCCATTTCAATATCTGTTACTTTCATGAGTTACAAGATGATTTATTTACAAGAATAAAAAAATGATTAGTCATGGTATGTTATTATATTGTTAAAGTCCTAATTTTAAGCCATTAACTTATATTGTTCTGAAAACTCTCAGCATCCATAAAATAGTTCAGATTTAATTGAAAAGATTTTTCTATAGATGGAGCACCTCTGTTTTCAAAAGTTGCCTTCTTCAGACTTGATACTACATTTCCATTCTCTAACACCACATTGTTTTAAGTAGAAAAGCAAATGAAAGCTATTATTTTTAATAATTTAGATTGACTCAGTTTGGGAGTTATTGCTTATAATCCAATCAAATGCTTTGAGATTATTTTAACATTTAGTTTTAAAAGCTAAATGCGTAACTCCCCACCTCCCTGATATTTGGCTTGCAAAACATAGAGGCAATGGAGTAAAATTTTGATAAATGAGATGAAAATCAAATTCTGGTTTGTTGTGTAAGAAAAGCATATGTTGAGATTTGGTTTGAGAATTTAGATAATTTCAAATAGTGACTAACATTAAACATGGAACTGTGATTTGTACCTATAACCATCAGTGCCCACTCTTGTGTACAAAACATTTCAAAGCATATATTCTGTTTTTAAGTAACTTGGTTCATTGTAATCTAAAAATGAAGAAATGCAATCACAATTTCCCAAGATCCAGGAATAGTTTAGGTGCTGGGAACATTACTTCCTCAAAATCATTACCTAATGTGATCATCTATTTACTATATCACATTCAAACAAGTAAAAATAAAAATAAAGATCAATCCTAATAAAAAAAAAACCCATGCATTGTATTTCTCATAGAAATACAAGTGACTATGGAATCAGCACTGTGGAATTCATGTTACTATTTATTTTTATTTCCCCAAAATTTTGACCTCTGTCCTCAAATTCCTAATACAGTGGAGAAATGGAAATTTCAGGTAGTTTCAGTTTCTCCAGAACATATCTCCTGGCTGCTATTTGGTTTTACTGTAATCTACAGCTAAGATTTTCATGTTGATCTTTCCATTATCCTTATTTTGGCTTTCTAATCTCACAGAATTAGCATCAAAGATTGGTGAAACATTGTTGGTGACATCTTGTCAAGAAATATTGTGGACTGCTTCTAAGGTTTTTATGGTTTTAGGTCTTATGTTTAAGTCTTTAATCCATCTTGAGTTAAATTTTTGCATAAGGCGTAAGGAAGGGGTCCAGTTTCAGTTTTCTGCATATAGCTAGCCAGTTTTCCCAACATCATTTATTAAATAAGGAATATTTTCCCCGTTGCTTGTTTTTGTCAGGTTTGTCAAAGATCAGATGGCTGTAGATGTATGGCACTATTTCTGAGGCCTCTGTTCTGTTCCATTGGTCTATATATCTGTTTTGGTACCAGTACCATGCTGTTTTGGTTACTGTAGCCTTGTAGCATAGTTTGAAGTCAGGTAGCGTGATGCCTCCAGATTTGTTCTTTCGGCTTAGAATTGTCTTGACTATATAGGCTCTTTTTTGATTCCATATAAATTTAAAGTAGATTTTTCTAATTCTGTGAAGAAAGTCAATGGTAGCTTGATGGGAATAACATTGAATCTATCAATTGCTTTGGGCATTATGGCCATTTTCACGATATTGATTCTTCCCACGATGAACATGGAATGTTTCTCCATTTGTTTGTGTCCTTTCTTATTTCCCTGAGCTGTGGTTTGTAGTTCTCCTTGAAGAGGTCTTCACATCCCTGTAAGTTGTATTCCTAGGTATCTTATTCTCTTTGTAGCAATCACGAATGGGAGTTCACTCATGATTTGGCTCTCTGTTTGTCTATTATTGTTGTATAGGAATGCTTGTGATGTTTGCACATTGATTTTGTATCCTGAGACTTTGCTGAAGTTGCTTATCAGCCTAAGGAGATTTTGGGCTGAGACGATGGGGTTTTATAAATATACAATCATGTCATCTTCAAACAGAGATAATTTGACTTCCTCTTTTCCTATTTGAATACCCTTTGTTCCTTTCTCTTGTCTGATTTACCTGGCCAGAATGTTCAATACTATATTGAATAGGAGTGGTGAGAGAGAATATTCTTGTCTTGTGTCAGTTTTCAAAGGGAATGCTTCCAGCTTTTGCCCATTCAGTATGATATTGGCTGTGGGTTTGTCATAAATAGCTCTTGTTATTTTGAGATACATTCCATCCATACCTAGTTTACTGAGTGTTTTTAGCATGAAAGTCTGTTGAATTTTATTGAAGGCCTTTTCTGCCTCTATTGAGATAATTATGTGGTTTTTGTCATTGACCCTGTTTATGTGATGGATTACGTTTATTGATTTGCACATGTTGAACCAGCCTTGCATCCCAAGGATGAAGCTAACTTGATTGTGGTGGATAAGCTTTTTAATGTGCTGCTGGATTCGTTGCCAGTATTTTATTGAGGATTTTTGCAGTGATGTTCATCAGGGATATTGGCCTGAAATTTTCTTTTTTTGTTGTGTCTCTCCCAGGTTTTGATATCAGGATAAGGCTGGCCTCATAAAATGAATAAGGGAGGAGTCTCTCTTTTTCTATTGTTTTGAATAATTTCAAAAGGAATGGTACCAGCTCCCCTTTGTACCTCTTGTAGAATGTGGCTGTGAATCCATCTGCTCCTGGGCTTCTTTTGGTTGGTAGGCTATTAATTACTGCCTCAATTTCAGAACTTGTTATTGGTCTATTCAGAGATTTGACTTCTTCCTGGTTTAGTCTTGGGAGGGTGCATGTGTCCAGGAATTTATCCATTTCTTCTAGATTGTCTAGTTTATTTGCAAAGAAGTGCTTATAATAGTCTCTGATGGTAGTTTGTATTTCTGTGGGATCAGTGGTGATATCCCTTCTATTATTTTTATTGTGTCTATTTGATTCTTCTCTCCTTTCTTCTTTATTAGTCTGGCTAGTGGCCTATGTATTTTGTTAATGTTTTTAAAAAAATCAGCTCCTGGATTCACTGATTTTTTGAAGGGTTTTTTAGTTCTCTATCTCCTTCAGTTCTGCTCTGATCTTAGTTATATTTTCTCTTCTGCTAGCTTTTGAATTTGTTTGCTCTTGCTTCTCTAGTTCTTTTAGTTGTGATTTTAGGGTGTCAATTTTAGATTTTTCCTGCTTTCTCATGTGGGCATTTAGTGCTATAAATTTCCCTGTAAGCAGCGCTTTATCTGTGTCCCAGAGATTCTGGTACAGCGTGTCTTTGTTCTCATTGGTTTCAAAGAACTTATTTATTTCTGCCTTAATTTTATTATTTACCCAGTAGTCATTCAGGATCAGGTTGTTCATATTCCCTGTAGTTATGCTGTTTTGAATGAGTTTCTTAATCCTGAGTTCTATTTGATTGCACTGTGGTCTGAGAGACTGTTTGTTATGATTTCCATTCATTTGCATTTGCTGAGGAGTGCTTTACTTCCAATTATGTGGTTGATTTTAGAATAAGTGCTATGTGGTGCTGAGAAGAATGTATATTATGTTGGTTTGTAGTGGAGAGTTCTGTGGATGTCTATTGGGTCTGCTTGGTCCAGAGCTGAGTTCAAGTCCTGAATATCCTTGTTAATTTTCTTTCTCGTTGGTCTGTCTAATATCGGCAATGCAGTGTTAAACTCTCCCACTATTATTATGTGGGACTCTAAGTCTCTTTGTAGGTCTCTAAGAACTTGTTTTATAAACCTAGGTGCTCCTGTATTGGGTGCATATATATTTGGCATGGTTAACTCTTCTTGTTTCATTGATCTCTACACCATTATGTAGTGCCTTTCTTTGTCTTTTTTAGATCTTTGTTGGTTTAAATTCTGTTTTATAAGAGACTAAGATGGCAACCCCTGCTTTTTTTTTTTTGCTTTCCATTTGCTTGGTAAATATTCCTGCATTCCTTTATTTTGAGCCTATGTGTGTCTTTGCACATGAGATGGGTCTCCTGAATACAGCACACAGAGGGGGCATGACTCGTTATCCAATTTGGCAGTCTGTTCTTTTAATTGGGGCATTTAGCCCATTTACATTTAAGGTTAATATTGTTATGTGTGAATTTGATCCTGTCATTACGATGCTAGCTGCTTATTTTGCCCATTAGTTGATGCAGTTTCCTCATAGTGTCCATGGTCTTTACAGATTGATATGTTTTTACAGTGGCTGGTACTGGTTTTTCCTTTTCATACTTAGTGCTTCCTTCAGGAGCTCTTATAAAGCAGGCCTGGTGTTGACAAAATCCCTCAACATTTGCTTGTCTGTAAAGAATTTTATTTCTCCTTCGCTTACGAAGCTTTGTTTGGCTGGATATGAAATTCTGGGTTGAAAATTCTTTTCTTTAAGAATGTTGAATATTGGCCCCTACTCTCTTCTGGCTTGTAAGGTTTCTGCAGAGAGATCTGCTGTTAGTCTGATGGACTTCCCTTTGTGTGAGTAAGCCGACCTTTCTCTATGGCTGCCCTTAACATATTTTTCTTCATTTCAACCTTGGTGAATCTGACGATTATGTGTCTTTGGGTTGCTCTTCTCGAGGAGTATCTTTGTGGTGTTCTCTGTATTTCCTGAATTTGAATGTTGGCCTGCCTTGCTAGGTCGGGGATGTTCTCCTGGATAATATCCTAAAGTGTGTTTTCCAACTTGGTTCCATTCTCCCTGTCACTTTTAAGTACACCAATCAAATGTAGGTTTGGTCTTTACATGTAGTCTTATATTTCTTGGAAGCTTTGTTCGTTCCTTTTATTCTTTTTTCTCTAATCTTGTCTTCACCTTTTATTTCATTAAGTTGATCTTCAATCTCTGATATCCTTTCTTCTGCTTGATCTATTCGACTATTGATACTTGTGTATGCTTCATGAAGTTCTTGTGTTGTGTTTTTCAGCTCCATCAAGTCATTTATGTTCTTCTTTAAACTGGTTATTCTAGTTAGCAGTTCCTGTAACATTTATCAAGGCCCGGCTCTTTGCTTCCTTTCCTTAGGTTAGAACATGCTCCTTTAGCTCGGAGGAGTTTGTTGTTATCCACCTTCTGAAGCCTACTTCTGTCAATTCATGAAACTCATTTTCCATCCATTTTTGTTCCCTTGCTGGTAAGGAGTTGTGATCCTTTGTAGGAGAAGAGGCATTCTGGTTTTTGGAATTTTCAGCCTGTTTTGTTGGCTTTTCCTCATCTTTGTGGATTTATCTACCTTTGATCTTTGATGTTGGTGACGTCCAGATAGGGTTTTTGCATGGGTGTCTTTTCTGTTGATGTTGATGCTATTGTTTTCTGTTTGTTAGTTTTCTTTCTAACAGTCAGGCCCCTCTTCTGCAGGTGTGCTGGAGTTTGCTGGAGGTCCACTCCAGACCCTGTTTGCCTGGGTATCACCAGCAGAGGTTGCAGAATGGCAAAGATTCCTGCCTGCTCCTTCCCCTGGAAGCTTCGTCCCAGAGGGGAACCCGCCAGATGCCAGCTGGAGCTCTCCTATATGAGGTGTCTGTCTACCCCTGCTGGGAGGTGTCTCCCAGTCAGGAGGCATAGGTGTCAGTGACCCACCTGAGGAGTCAGTCTATCCCTTAGCAGAGCTCAAGTGCTGTGCTTGGTGATCCACTGCTCTCTTCAGAGCTGACAGGCAGGAACGTTTAAGTCTGCTGAAGCTGCGCCCACAGCCGCACCTTCCCCCAGGTGATCTGTCTCAGGGAGATGGAAGTTTCATCTATAAGCCCCTGACTGGGGCTGGTGCTTTTCTTTCAGAGATGCCCTGCCCAGAGAGGAGGAATCTAGAGAGGCAGTCTGGCTACAGCAGCTTTGCCATGCTGTGGAGGGTTCTACCCAGTTCGAACTTCCTGGCGGCTTTCTTTACACTGTGAGGGGAAAACTGCCTACTCAAGCCTCAGTAACGGCAGACACCCCTTCCCCCACCAGGTTGGAGCATTCTAGGTTGACTTCAGACTTCTGTGCTGGCAGTGAGAATTCCAAACCAGTGGTTCTTAACTTGTTGGGCTCCATCAGGGTGGGATCTGCTGAGCGAGACCACTCGGCTCCCTGGCTTTGGCCCTCTTTCTAGGGGAGTAAATCGTTCTGTCTCACTGGTGTTCCAGGGCAACTGGTGTACAAAAAAAAAAAAAGAAAGAAAGAAAAAAGAAACTCCTGCAGCTAGCTTGGTGTCTGCCAAAATGGCTGCCTAGTTTTATGCTTGAAACCCAGGGCCCTGGTAGTGTATGCACCTGAGGGAATCTCCTGGTCTGCAGGTTGTGAAAACCTTGGAAAAAGCATAGCATCTGGGCCAGATAGCACTGTCTCTAATGGCACAGTCCCGCATGGCTTCCCCTGGCTAGTGGAGGGAATTCCCAGACCACTTGCACTTCCCAGGTGAAGCAACACCCTACCCTGCCCCTGCTTGCCCTCCGTGGGCTGCATCCACTGTCTAAGCAATCCCAATGAGACAAACTGGGTACCTCAGTTGGAAATGCAGAAATTACCCACCTTCTGCATTGGTCTCACTGGAAGCTGTAGACTGGGTCTGTTCCTATTCAGTCATTTTGCCAGCCCCTTGATTATTTCAATTTCTTCAACCAATTCATATAGCCTCCAATGCAAATATACTATGTTTTTGTTTATAAGCAACTTAGAATATGTTATCATATTAATCTCTTAAACTTGTGGCGTATAAATCAGGTAAGGCTGACTGCACTTGACAAACAATTTAACAGCCTAGCTTAAGACATTTAACTGGGAATTGATAGAACTTGGGTTCAACCTTACCTTATACTTTCGAGCCTATTCTTATTTGTATTACTTTACAGTTACTAAAAATACTTGGGGATATGTATATTTTTTATGGAAAAGTAATTGATTATATCCTTTGACAACTTTAATTATTCTCCCTCAATCAACTATTTCATACACTAAGTCAAGCAACAATTTTGGTTAAACTATTTGACACATGATTGACTATTAATCAATTAAGCTGGTGGCTTGTAGACGCAGTTGTAGCAGTGTTAAACTAACAGTCAAAAGCAGTCTTGAATCCAATTGAGTCTCCTTCATCTGCTTGTATAATACTAGATAATTTCTTACTAAAATATAGTTTATTATAATTATGATATTACAGTTATTATTATGTGTTTGAGGGAAATAATTTCATTGTATATTTTTTATATTTGTATATTTCTTCAGGTTTTCTCTTCATAATACCTACGTCATCTAGTAGCATAACATAAGGCAGAATCCTTCAAAGGTAAGGAGAGAATCCTTCACTGAGTTGCGTTAAAAATGTTCATGGCAGAGATATGGTTTATCATTTTGGGCTGTCCTTGGTAAAAGCTATGTTATTATAGTCATCATCACAGTGTTAAACACGAACTCTGCAGTCCCAAGGTATATCATTCAGTGTGATGTGGTGGATAAACCCCTGCACTATAGGTAAGAGCTGGATGGGGTCTCAGCTCTGGCACTAACAAATTATGGGGGAATCTTAGCTTCTCAATCTATAAAACATGCTTCCTGAAAAGTGTGGAGTTTCATCACCTAAAAATTATCTTCTACTTCAACAGTTCTTTCACTGTAGACTTGTTTGCTTGAGTAAAATCTATTGATTTTATATAAACATGACAAAGGCTCCCTGTTTATTGTTTAAAAACAAGTAAAACAAAAGTTAGTCCTAATCCTTGTATTGAGAATTTGGGTCCAATCCTAATTAGTTCCTGTGTTTTATGTTCATTAGAATATACACTTGTATTGGTAGTAGTAAGAAGGACTGCTGTTAGTTTGGTGCAAAAGTAATTGCAGTTTTTTCCATTAAAAATAATGACAAAACACAGTTATTCATAATTTACTTTCTTTGTATTTCTTTTCGTTAACTTTAACATAATATTTCCATGATAAAAAACTATATAGTAGCAAAGTAAAGGTCTCATATTTCACTTTGATGTAAGTAAATATGTGGAACTCTATATATATCATAGTAATTTAGAATAAAGGTATCATATTAGATTTTTCACAAGCAAAATAGTTGTAGTACCACTGCAGAACAGTGTTGGCAGTTTAATTCAAATACTAACTTTTGTTTTGTTAATTTTAATAAGACATAGAAGCAGCATTAATAATTTAAAAACATATTATATTGCTTATGAAACTATTTAAGCACTTTCAAATTGTAATATGACTTTTAGCAGAGTGCTGACCAAGAAATCATCCTCTAAACATTTCTAAGAAAAAAAAAATAATAACAAAAAAACTTATAGTATTACCAAAATTTTGCAAAAATATTTACAGATTTTACTAGTATGTAAAATTTTTTGCATATCAATCTATTAAATATTAAGAGTATTGAATTTAGTTTACTGTATTATTTTTAGTTATTTCTACTAAGTCAGTATTTAGAGAGCATTTATCCATGTGCGTATTAGAGAGATTGGGGGATGTCCGAGGACCAAAATAAAGAAAAAAAAGTGAATGAAGTTTCACTTCTCCTCTTGCCTGTGAAATGTGGTGTCTGAGGAAGAATGAAGATATTCTTACTGTCCATACTCATCATTTTTCAGATGGTTTGTATTTTTACAGAGAATGTCATCCTAAGTCTTGAATTATGGTTTCAAAACTATGTCTAAGTAGCACTTACCCTAGATATCTCAAATGCCTAGCTTAATATGCCATAACGTCTCTTCACCATCTTTCCTGAGCTGCTCTTTTTTCATACTTCCTCAAGACAGGCTTTTATTCATGGCATTTCTTCAGCTTAGAGCGTATTTTGCCCCCAGTATACCCCAAAAGCACAGTTTAATAATTTTTCTTTCAAAAGTTTTCCCCCAATATCATGGCCCCATCTTTTTCTTCCATTCTCTGATCTACCCTCCTACACAGGAGATAAATATTATATAATTGTCATGTTTATGGCAGACTCACCCTTAATGTAAGTTCCATGAGGGCATGGATTTCATCTCATTTGCCAGCATTCAGAACAGTTTTTGATACTGATTGAATATTTTTTAAATAAATAAATGTTTGTCTCTTTTTTTGTTCTGGAGAGATACTTTCTTTTACATGCGGTTATTATGCTTAGATGCGTAGGGAAATACTAGGTGGTTAACCTAAGTTAACCAGAAATAAATTTTCTGGAGAGTATTTAAGATTATGAAGCATGTATTTCCACAATATGCTTCTAGAAAAGGGAAGAAAGAAAGGAAGGAAGGAAGGAAGGAAGGAAGGAACGAAGGAAGGAAAGAAGGAAAGAAGGAAGGAAAAGACAGAAGGAGGGAGGGAGGAAGGGAAGGGAAAGGAAAAAAGGAAGAAGAAGGCACACTCAAAATTACAGAAACACCACAAATTACATTGTAGTTCTGAAAAGACAGTTATCTAACTTCGAATTATCTCTTTGAAATTCGCTAAACTGAAAATGCACGTTTAATATACCCACATAATACCTTGAGTATACAGACGGAATGCTTGGTGTAACATTTATTCTTTTTTTCCTCTTAGATTTCACACCCTTGGAAAAAAAAACAAAACCCTAGGAACAAGTGCTAAGTCATTTGATTTACTTCAAATTTCTTTGCTTTAGGATTATAAATCAGACTCTTATTGTCACTTTAATGCAGAAAGGATTCTTTTGTGTTCATAATATAGATCAAGATGTGATTTAAGTTGAATCTTGTCAAGGTAACTCCTTTTTAAACTATGAGAAGAGATTTGGCTGTAGCCCAAAACTAATGGGACTCATATTTTATAATAAAAAGCAATATGTTAGTAATAGAGGCTTTGCTGCTTCTTGCTGTCTCCACAAGCACAAATTCTTGTCAGTTTTCACAGCTAATGCATTTTTTGTCCAGTCATAAGCACTTTTAAAAAGTCTCTACTTAATATTGTGGAAGACAGAAATTCTAATTTTCCAAAGGAAGCAGTGAAAATAGAGATCTTAGCCTGGAGGAATAAGATATAAGATGCTTGACTATCAAAAGAATCCCATTTTGAAAAGACAGACCATCAGAAAGTAGTGTGAATATAAAACTGAACAAATCTTCAAATTGAACATAAAGGGGTGTCACACTTCCAGTATCTTTCCTCTTCCCCACATTTTAGAAAGGATCTTTCAACTGATCAAATGTAAAAGATGATAGGAAGTAATTTATATTGTTCACATCTACTATTTAATGACTTCTTTGAGAAATGAAAGCTAATTTCACTTGTGTTTGCCATATACTGCAGACACTTGTCACACATTGCATATAGCTCTTGTAAGGGTACTTGTCTGTAGTGTCGAGTTAAATATTGATATAAAATTATAGCAAAAGTTTCAGGACAACTAGTTACTTAAACTTTTAAACTCTGTGACTTCCAATCTGAAAAAGCCAAAGGAATATTGCATAGAAAAAAATGCCAGTGTGAGCAATGACTAGTCAAGTGGGAAAAATTAACTTAGAAATTGCTGATTATATTAATAAGTCATCTTCCTAGAAAACCAAGTCAGTTCTACTTATTAGATTAACAAATTTTATAAAAATAAAAGACTAATTTAATTTAAAACATTGACTTATGGATATTTAACTGATTCTTCAACTATTACATTGTATGTAAGATTTCCAAAGCTAACATTTGCCTAAAATGATACTTCCTAGATCTTCAAAGAGTTTCAACATTTCAAGGACATTCATATAATATTTTAATATTTACTTTTCAATTATGCAAGTGTACTATGCTCCCACTGTTATGCCTTACTTCATGTTTTTTTCCCCTTCGTGGAGGTGTAAAAAATGGAGGAGAATACTATTCTTTGATGTCAGTGTGGCTGTCTTCAAGAAGTATTATCAGTGGCTTAGTAGCTGGGACTTTTCTTCTTTACTCCTGAGTGCCCCGGAATAAATTTATTATGTCACAGATAGATTCCTTTTTATTTTTCTCCTTGAAACTTGTGATAATAGTTCTCCTTATTTATATGATCCAATTCCAAGTAGCAATTAAGCCGCCTTGAATATTGTAATAAAATCACTTATCTCATCTTTTTTTATTCTTCACAAATTGGTTTGCACAGTAATAGAAGTATCTTTTATAACTTTTTCATATGAAATCACTGAAGTTCATAAAATTTAAGTAAATGGTAAAGTCAGGATGTAAATGTAGGTCTTGTAACTCTAGTATCCTTTTCTCCTCTCCCAAGATTACTTCACATTAATTTTTAAGGCAAAGTTACCAACTTTTTTAGGATCATAAACTTAATAACTAAAGTATCTCTAAGTATTAGCAAGAGGAGTAAAGATGAGTCTTAAAGAGAGAAAGTTAATTCCTACAAAAATGTACACATGTGCCTTCTTATTTTCTTATTATGAGAACTATTGTGCCCAATAAAACACTTCAATACAACCTGAAACTTTGTTTCAGATTTTCACCTGAACTTTTCTTGAGCATCTCTAGACAGTCACATGCAGAATAACAACTGGGTTTTAGGTAAATAATTTTTAATATATTATCTAATAAGGGGCATTTAGTGTCATTAACTAGACAGTCTGTTACTAGGACACATAATCATTTTTATAGTCCTAGAATGTTATATTCAATGTCTTCTTTAGGGCATTTTTATTTTAATTAACTTATTTATATTACTAAGTAATTTTATATTATTTAATTGTTATATTTTATAATTCTTCAAACTTTTAAATTAGCTGATTTTGTCTTTGAAACCAGTAATTATTATTTAAAAATCATTACTTTTTTTGTTGATCCTAGTTATATGCTAATAATGGAGAAGTATGTGAATAACTTTGTATAAGCCCTTTGTTTAGTAAAGTGAAAGAATATCATTCACTTAATTCTGTGTCTTGATTTAACTTTTCTTAATGTGTACTTGTTGTCCATTAATATTCTCCCTAAGTAATCTCATCCACTGTCATTGATTCAGCTGCCAAAGATAGGATGAGAACCCTTGAATTTTTATCTTCAATCTAGAACTTGTCTTGAACTACAAATTATATGTCTAATGCCTTACTAGATAGTTCTACTTTTATGTCTTAAACACAATTTAAACTAATGGTTTCATAACCCTCCCCCACCTTCCCAACTATCCTTCCTCTGCTGTTTTAAAACATATTAAATGATAATTATATACACCAAGTTGTTGAAGCCAGCAGTTTTGGAATCATCCTTGACTCTTCTCTTTTCCTTACTCTTCCTTCAACAAATGTTATTATTTTGTGTTAATAAAAAATTTAACTTACTAGTTACTCACCAAATGTTAATGATCCACACCCTCTCCATCATTTTGTCAACTTCTTTTCACCTCCATTGCCGTTGCTGTAAGCCAGACACCCACTGCCCTTTACTGCCCAAACTAGGGATAGAGCCCCTTGGCCTTCTTTATAGTTCAGATCCAATCTTTCTTTAATCTACACTTTTCCCTGTTACAGAGTCATTGTTTAGAAATGCAAGTCTAATTACACCTTCACCTTACCAAAAACCCTTTAATAATTTCCCTTTGCCATTTTTTAGGTGTACCAAGTTCTTAGTATGGAAAAAAGATATCCTACAAAATTTTGTCTCTACACATGTTGAAGTTCATCTCTCACCCCTCTCTACTCTCTTACTTATGCTTCAAGCAAATGGAATTACTTTTTTTCATACTGAGACATTAAAACAGGAAATCCTTCTTCCTAGGACTCCTGTTCACCACCACTACCTCTACACATAGGTAGGTTTACATCATCCTTTGTGTATTAACTAAGATCTCACTTTTTTTTTGTGAATCTCCCCTGAGTAGATAGGGTGCCTCAGTTAATAATTTCTCTGTATCTCCCTTCATGACATTCATCAAAATTGTAATTATTTGTTTATTGTCTTGATATTTCTCTCTAGGATTTAAATTTCATGGAGGAATAGACTATTTTATTCCCTCTGCTAAATTCTTTGTTTCTGTCAGAGGAACAAATAATGCATGCAAGAAGCAATTGAGTAATTGAATACCGTTTTGATCCTTGACAATTTGTCCACTATACTATCCATTTCTTGAACCATAAAGCCATCTGCTTTGTGGACAAATATACATTAACCTATTTATATCCAAGTTCTTTACTTTGGGGTAATTAGTGTTCGTCCTTTGATCCTGCCATTCTGTCAACTGTAAATAGTGATTTTCACAAATTTGGGACCCTTCTCAAGTAAGCAAATTGTATTTCCTCAATAGTTAAACTAAGCCTTTAACAATTATTTGCCAAATATTTTAAAAATTTATAAAAATAAATTGAATGGGACATGCCAATCTAGAACCTAAAGATTTTAGAAACCAAATTACAAACTTTTTAATCTCATAAATTGAAGTTATACCTTTATAACCCACACTAATTCCACTTATTTTTTTTTACGACAGCAGATCCACGTAAGACACTTGCATCCAAGACAAGTCAGAATGATTACATATGAAAGTTTTAATTGCACTGTATGGGGATATTGCTGTGTTGTGAATTAAATAAGAATTCATATTTTCTTATTATGGGATTATGATTTGATATTTTCTGTGATCTTGTCAAATATATTCTGCATTCTAATCTCCATTCTGTTACCATGCTACAATCTACTGCTATTTATAAATCATTTGGAATTCTTTGTTTGCCATGTAATGTTCAGAAAGGGGAGTGTCACTGACCAGTTCCTTTCAAAAAGGTGTGCAATATTGCCACTTATTACCGTTACCATCATGGACTGTGTAACACATGCAATGGATCTGAGCTCATAACTGCTTTAATTCTGATAAAGCAAGAGGCCACAGAGAGGAAGGATTTTTCACCAGATTAAGTTTTAAGCAGTACTAACTTAAAAGAGTAATAATGCCTAGGAACTCTCAACTTCAAAGTACTTATGGATTTACTTGAAAAGATGGATATTTTAAAATTTTCTAATCAGAAAGTGTTAGAGAAGATGTGGAGAAAGGAGAACCTCACACCCTGTTGGTGGGAATTTAAATTAGTACAGCCATTATGGAAATAGTATGGAGGGTCCTCAAAAAATTAAAAATAGAAAAACCATATGATCCAGCAATCCAACTACTGGGTAGATATTGGAAGGGGACAAAATCAGCATCTCAAAGGTATGCCCATGTTCACTACATCACTATTCACAACAGCCGAGATACAAAAACAATCTAAATGTCCTTCCACATATGAAGGGATAAAGAAAATGTGGTGTGTATACACAGAGTGGGATAATATTCAGCCACAAAAGAAGGAAATCCTGCCATTTGTGTTAACATATGATATAGTTTGGCTGTACCCCCACCCGAATCTCATCTTGAATTGTAGTTTCTATAATTCCCACATGTCATGGGAGAGACCCAATGGGAAGTGATCGGATCATGGGGAAGGTTTCCCCCATGCTGTTCTTGTGATAGTGAGTGAGTGAGATCTGATGGTTTTATAAGCATCTGGCATCTTCCCTGCTGGCACTTCTCTCTCCTGCCACTGTGTGAAGACGAACATGTTTACTTTTCCTTCCACCATGATTCTAAGTTTCCTGAGGACTCTCCAGCCATGTGGAACTGTGAGTCACTTAAATGTCTTTTCTTTATAAATTATCTAGTCTTGGGTATTTCTTCATAGCAGTGTGAGAATGGACTAATATAACATGTATGAATAGGAAGGATGTTATGTTAAATAAGCCAGGGACAGAAAACAAATATAGTCATGTACCACATAATCTTTTAGTCAATGATGGACACATATGGGATGAGTTCCAATAAGATGAAAATGAAGCTGAAAAATCTCTATTCCTTAGTGACTTCATAGTCACCACCCTAACACTGCAGTGCAGCACATTATTCTCGTATTTGTGGTGATGCTGGTGTAAACAAACCTGCTGGGCTACCAGCAGTATAAACAGTAGCACATATAGTTATGTGCAATACATAATATAATAAAGATAAATGACTATATTACTGGTTTATATATTTAATATACTATTCTTTTTATCAATATTTTAGAGCATACTCCTTCTACATATTAAAAGAATAGCAAACTGTAAAACAGGCTTAGGCAGGTCCTTCAGGAGGAATTCCAGAAGAAGGCATTGTTATCCTAGGAGATGACAACCACGTTCATGTTATTTCCTTTAAAGACCTTCCAGTAGGACAGGATATACTGGTGGAAGACAGTGATAATGATTCTGCCCCTGTGTAGGCCTAAGTTAATGGGTGCGTTTGTTTCTTAGTTTTTGACAAAAAAATTTGAAAAGTAAAATAAATAAATAAATAATATGAAAAAGCATATAGACTAAAAATATAAAGAAGGAAAATATTTTTACTGCTGTACAATGTATTTGTGTTTTAAGGTGTTATTACAAGAATCAAATTTTTTAAAAAAAATAACAGTTTCTAAAGTGGAAATAAATGTTACAATAAATTGGGAGGCTGAGGCAGGCAGATCACAAGGTCAGGAGATCAAGACCATCCTGGCTAACATAGTGAAACCCTGTCTCTACTAAAAATACAAAAAATTAGCCAGGCGTGGTGGCAGGTGCCTGTAGTTCCAGCTACTTGGGAGGCTGAGGCAGGAGAATGGCATGAAACTGTGAGGCGGAGCTTGCAGTGAGCCGAGATCACGCCACTGCACTCCAGCCTGGGCGACAGAGCGAGACTCCGTCTCAAAAAAAAAAAAAAAAAAAGTTACAGTAAATTAAGGTTAATTATTTAAGAAAGAAAATATTTTTTATCAATTCAGTGTAGCCTAGGTGTACAGTGTTTGCGTTTGCAAAGTGTCATATAATAATGTTCTAGGCCTTCATATTCACGCGCCACTCACTCACTGACTTATCCAGAGCAACAACAGTCCTGAAAACTTCATTCATGATAAATACCCTATGTAGTTAGGCCATTTTTTTAATGTTTTATATCATATTTTATTGGGCCTTTTCTATGTTTAGATACACAGATACTTACACTGTTACAATTCTTTACAGTCTTCAGTACAGTAGCATTCTATACAGATTTGCAGCCCAGGAACAGTAGGCCATTCTATACAGCTTAGGAGCGTAGTAAGCTATATCACCTAGATTTGTGTAAGTAGATGATAATGTTTGTATAACAAGGAAATCATCTAAGGACACATTTCTTAGAATATAACCCTGTTGTTAAGCAATGCATGACTATACCATACTCATATGTGGAATCTAAAAATGTTGAATTCAGAAGTAGAGAGTAGAATTATGGTTACCAGGGACTGGAGGTTATCGGGGTTTGGGGAGATGTAGATCAAAGGTTACATAGTTTCAGTTAGAGAAGAGGACTAAATTCAAGACCTCTATTGTACAACATGGTAACTATAGTTAATGACAATGTATTATATTCTTAAAAATTGATAAGACAGTAGCCTTTAAGTGTTTGTTTACCACAAAAGAAGTATGTGAGGTAATACATATGTAAATTAGCTTTAGTCATTTTACCATGTATATGTATTTCAAAACATATTCTACACGATATATACAATTTTTATTTGTCAAATAAAAAATAAATTGAAATAAAAAAGAAAATGCATCAATACAGCAAAGCTTGCTAACTTGCCCTAGTACCTATTCTCACACCACCCCTTTCCAATCTTGTTTTAGCATGATCCATGGGAATCCGGGTGGAGACTATATTTCCTGGCTTTCCTTGTCTATTCACATGTTACTAACTTCTCACTAATAGAAAATAAGCATCTGTCTTTATGGTAGAGCAATCTGTATTCCTTTGGGTATATACCCAGCAATGGGATTGCAGGGTAGCATGGTAGTTCTATTTTAAGTTCTTTGAGAAATATCTAAACTGCTTTCTACAGTGGCTGAACCAATTTACATTCCCACCAGCAGTGTATAAATGTTCCCTTTCTCAGAAACCTCACAAGCATCTGTCATTTTGACATTTTAGTAATAGCCATTCTGATTGGTGTCAGATGATATCTCACTGAGATTTTGATTTGCATTTATCTAATAATTAGTGATGTTGAGCATTTTGTTTCCTATACTTGTTGGTCATATGAATGTCTTCTCTTGAGATGTATCTGCTTATGTCTTCTGCCCATTTTTAAATAGGGTTGTCTGTTTTTAGCTTGATAATTTGTTTAAGATCCTCATAGATTCTGGATATTAGACCTTTGTCAGGTGCATAGTATGCAAATATTTTTCTCCCATTCTGTAGGTTGTTTATTTACTCTGTTGATAATTTATTTTGCCGTGTGGAAGCTCTTCAGTTGAATTAGGTCCCACTTGTCAATTTTTGTTTTTGTTAAAATTGCTTTTGGAGTCTTTGTCATAACATCTTTGCAAGGCCTTTGACCAGAATAGTATTTCTTAGGTTTTCTTCAAGAGTTTTTATAGTTTTAGGTTTTACGTTTTCTGTTGATAATTTCTTTTGCTGTGTGGAAGCTCTTCAGTTGAATTAGGTCCCACTTGTCAATTTTCGTTTTTGTTAATATTGCTTTTGGAGGCTTTGTCATAACATCTTTGCAAGGCCTTTGACCAGAATAGTATTTCCTAAGTTTTTTCGAGAGTTTTTATAGTTTTAGGTTTTACATTTAAGTCTTTAACTTACCTTGAGTTGACTTTTGTGTATGGTGTAAGGAAGGCATACAGAGTCAATCTTCTTAATGTGGCTAGCCAGTTATCCCAGCACCATTTGTTCAAAATGGAGTCCTGTGAGAGATCGGTCAGGGTGGTAGGAGAAATTGTAAGAAAAAAGGAAAGATGTGAACCTTCTTGGAAGGCTGGGAGGTTTTGCAAAAGCTTCGAAAGAGGATTTGGCTGAAGGCAGCCAGATTCTCTTATCAGGAGCCTGAAAGCAAAGGGTAGATAACAAGGGAATGTAAAGGAACTTATCTAGATAAATTTGTTTATTCTGGTCTCCAGAAACCAACCTGTGATCAATCACATGCAGGACTGCTCTCTACTCAGGGGT
This sequence comes from Homo sapiens, assembly GCF_000001405.40. Lineage (NCBI taxonomy): Eukaryota > Metazoa > Chordata > Mammalia > Primates > Hominidae > Homo > Homo sapiens. The sequence continues at coordinate 129,959,803 of NC_000004.12, forward strand.
CGACACTGTTAATTACCCAAAAACTGTGTTTGCTCCAGGCCTTTGTCATTAAATCTCTACTAAATAAATGCAAGCATCACTGCCATGGGGGGCTGCTAACTCTCTTCAGCCCCCAGTGCTGGCAGTCCCCTAGCCTGCTCTTTCACTGGATACCTGTGTCTGAGTACTGCTTTCATCTGTCGCTCGGCCAGAGTCTGCAGGACAGACTTGGCAGAATTCTTTCCCCATTGCTTGTTATTGTCAGCTTTGTTGAAGATCAGATGGTTATAGTTGTGCAGCTTTATGTCTCAGTTCTCTATTATGTTCTATTGGTCCATGTGTCTGTTTTTCTACCTGTACCATGCTGTTGTGGTTGTTGTAGCCTTGTAGTATAGTTTGAAGTCAGGCAGTGTGATTCCTCTAGCTTTGTTCTTTTTGCTTAGGATTGCTTTGACTATTTGGGCTTTTTTGTTCTTGTTACATATGAATTGTAGCATAGTTTTTTTTTATTTCTGTGAAAAATATCATTGGTACTTTGAAAGAAATATCACTGAATCCATGAATTGTTTTGGGCAGTATGGCCATTTTAACAACATTAATTATTCCTGTCTGTGACAATGAAATGTTTTTCCATTTGTTTGTGTTGTCTCTAATTTCTTTCAACAATGTCTTACAATTCTTGTTGTAGAGATCTTTCACTCCCTGGTTAGCTGTATTCCCAAGTATTTTTTCTTTTTGTGGCTGTTGTGAATGTGATTACATCCTTGATTCGGCTCTCAGCTTGGATGTTATTGGTGTATAGAAATGTTACATTTTTGGTACATTAATTTTGTATCCTGAAGCTTTATTGAAGTTGTTCATATAAATCATTCTACCAAAAAGACACATGCATGCATATATTCATCACAGCACTGTTCATAATAGCAAAGACATGAAATCAACCTAGATGCCCATTAATGGTGGACTAGATAAAGAAAATGTGGTACACATACACCATGAAATACTAGGAAGCCACAAAAAAAAGTCAAAATCGTGTCCTTTGCAGCAACGTGGATGAAGTTGGAAGCCATTATCCTAAGCAAATTAACACAGTGACAGAAAACCAAATACTGCATATTCCATTTTGTAAGCTGGAGCTAAACATCGATTATACATGGACACAAAGAAGGGAACAATAGACATAAGATCCTACTTGATGGTGGAGGGTCGGTGGAGAGTGAGGATTGAAAAACTACCTGTTGGGTAATATGCTCATTACTTGGGTGACAAAATAATCTGTACACCAGCACCCTACAGCATTAGTTTACTTGTGTTAACAAACGTGAATATGTGCCCCTTGAACCTAAAAGTTGGACACAAAAATCAAACAAGCAGAAAAGAGAATCAGTATTTAAAAAATCATCTCAGAGAATTATTATATGAATTTTAAAGTTATGCTTAGTATTAAAAAATATAAGCAGCTGCCAAACAGACAAATCCGATGCCAACTCCTTAACAGACTATTGCTTCCTCTTTATTTCTTCTCTTTCTCCTTTCTTGGGGTTGGTAGAATAAGCAGCTTCAAACAACTAGATGGGAACAATGGGGTTATAGAGTAAAAACAGTCAAAAGAAACCTGGGTCCTTAATACATTTATGCAGATGACAAACCTAAACTGGAACTGAAACATAAGGAGAATACAATTTGAAGGGTGCATGTGTTTTTGTATCTATTTCATAAAAATTATTAAAAATACAATTAAAATATAAATCCTCATGATATGTATGCATATACATTTAAAATCTACTGATACTAGTTTAGTTAATATGTTTTGTGTTCAATGAAAGGCGAAAGAAATCCTTGCAATTTTAACAAAAATACGTGATGCAATTAGGAAGAAAAACAGATATAATTATTTAAAAATTAATTCCAAATTTATTTTTCTTTTTTGGTAGAAAATGTTTTAATATAAACTATTCTGTTGTAGAAAACATAAATAGATTAAAAATTACTAACTGTAAATGTGTGTTCACTGTTCTCTCTTTACACAGTGTTGTGTAGCTATTTTCTACATGCCTAGGCTTAATGAAGTAACCTTTAATCTCTTTCTAGACTTCGATTAAAACTTTTATTAAAGGCATGAAGATGATCTAGGTGCTTAGTAACATTAATGCAAATTTCAGCAGTAAGTTCAGATCTGCAAATAAAAAATAAGCAGTATTAGTATCATAAATATACACAGGACTTACCTAATTTCTTTCTCTTAATATTTTTAAAATTTCTTTTTTTTTTTTTTGCAGAAAGTCTTTTTTTTCTTTTATTATTATACTTTAAGTTTTAGGGTACATGTGCACATTGTGCAGGTTAGTTACATATGTATACATGTGCCATGCTGGTGTGCTGCACCCACAAACTCATCATCTAGCATTACGTATATCTCCCAATGCTATCCCTCCCCGCTCCCCCCACCCCATAACAGTCCTCAGAGTGTGATGTTCCCCTTCCTGTGTCCATGTGATCTCATTGTTCAATTCCCGCCTATGAGTGAGAATATGTGGTGTTTGGTTTTTTGTTCTTGCGATAGTTTACTGAGAATGATGATTTCCAATTTCATCCATGTCCCTACAAAGGACATGAACTCATCATTTTTTATGGCTGCATAGTATTCCATGGTGTATATGTGCCACATTTTCTTAATCCAGTCTATCATTGTTGGACATTTGGGTTGGTTCCAAGTCTTTGCTATTGTGAATAATGCCACAATAAACATACGTGTGCATGTGTCTTTATAGCAGCATGATTTATAGTCCTTTGGGTATATACCCAGTAATGGGATGGTTGGGTCAAATGGTATTTCTAGTTCTAGATCCCTGAGGAATCGCCACACTGACTTCCACAATGGTTGAACTAGTTTACAGTTCCACCAACAGTGTAAAAGTGTTCCTATTTCTCCACATCCTCTCCAGCACCTGTTGTTTCCTGACTTTTTAATGATTGCCATTCTAACTGGTGCGAGATGGTATCTCATAGTGGTTTTGATTTGCATTTCTCTGATGGCCAGTGATGATGAGCATTTTTTCATGTGTTTTTTGGCTGCATAAATGTCTTCTTTTCAGAAGTGTCTGTTCATGTCCTTTGCCCACTTTTTGATGGGATTGTTTGTTTTTTTCTTGTAAATTTGTTTGAGTGCATCGTAGATTCTGTATATTAGCCCTTTGTCAGATGAGTAGGTTGCGAAAATTTTCTCCCATTTTGTAGGTTGCCTGTTCACTCTGATGGTAGTTTCTTTTGCTGTGCAGAAGCTCTTTAGTTTAATTAGATCCCATTTGTCAATTTTGGCTTTTGTTGCCATTGCTTTTGGTGTTTTAGACATGATGTCCTTGCCCATGCCTATGTCGTGAATGGTAATGCCTAGGTTTTCTTCTAGGGTTTTTATGGTTTTAGGTCTAATGTTTAAGTCTTTAATCCATCTCGAATTGATTTTTGTATAAGGTGTAAGGAAGGGATCCAGTTTCAGCTTTCTACATATGGCTAGCCAGTTTTCCCAGCACCATTTATTAAATAGGACACCCCACTGTCAACATTAGACAGATCAATGAGACAGAAAGTCAACAAGGATACCCAGGAATTGAACTCAGCTCTGCACCAGGCGGACCTGATAGACATCTACAGAACTCTCCACCCCAAATCAACAGAATATACATTTTTTCAGCACCACACCACACCTATTCCAAAACTGACCACATACTTGGAAGTAAAGCTCTCCTCAGCAAATGTAAAAGAACAGAAATTATAACAAACTAACTCTCAGACCACAGTGCAATCAAACTAGAACTCAGGATTAAGAATCTCACTCAAAACCGCTCAACTACATGGAAACTGAACAACCTGCTCCTGAATGACTACTGGGTACGTAACGAAATGAAGGCAGAAATAAAGATGTTCTTTGAAACCAATGAGAACAAAGACACAACATACCAGAATCTCTGGGATGCATTCAAAGCAGTGTGTAGAGGGAAATTTATAGCACTAAATGCCCACAAGAGAAAGCAGGAAAGATCCAAAATTGACACCCTAACATCACAATTAAAAGAACTAGAAAAGCAAGAGGAAACACATTCAAAAGCTAGCAGAAGGCAAGAAATAACTAAAATCAGAGCAGAACTGAAGGAAATAGAGACACAAAAAACCCTTCAAAAAATTAATGAATCCAGGAGCTGGTTTTTTGAAAGGATCAACAAAATAGATAGACCACTAGCAAGACTAATAAAGAAAAAAAGAGAGAAGAATCAAATAGACGCAATAAAAAATGATAAACGGGATATTACCACTGATCCCACAGAAATATAAACTACCATCAGAGAATACTACAAACACCTCTATGCAAATAAACTAGAAAATCTAGAAGAAATGGATAAATTCCTGGACACATACACCCTACCAAGACTAAACCAGGAAGAAGTTGAATCTCTGAATAGACCAATAACAGGCTCTGAAATTGTGGCAATAATCAATAGCTTACCAACCAAAAAGAGTCCAGGATCAGATGGATTCACAGCTGAATTCTATCAGAGGTACAAGGAGGAACTGGTACCATTCCTTCTGAAACTATTCCAATCAATAGAAAAAGAGGGAATCCTCCCTAACTCATTTTATGAGGCCAGCATCATTCTGATACCAAAGCCTGGCAGAGACACAACCAAAAAAGAGAATTTTAGACCAATATCATTGATGAACATTGATGCAAAAGTCCTCAATAAAATACTGGCAAAACGAATCCAGCAGCACATCAAAAAGCTTATCCACCATGATCAAGTGGGCTTCATCCCTGGGATGCAAGGCTGGTTCAATATACACAAATCAATAAATGTAATCCAGCATATAAACAGAGCCAAAGACAAAAACCACATGATTATCTCAATAGATGCAGAAAAAGCCTTTGACAAAATTCAACAACCCTTCATGCTAAAAACTCTCAATAAATTAGGTATTGATGGGACGTATTTCAAAATAATAAGAGCTATCTATGACAAACCCACAGCCAATATCATACTGAATGGGCAAAAACTGGAAGCATTCCCTTTGAAAACTGGCACAAGACAGGGATGCCCTCTCTCACCACTCCTATTCAACATAGTGTTGGAAGTCCTGGCCAGGGCAATTAGGCAGGAGAAGGACATAAAGGGTATTCAATTAGGAAAAGAGGAAGTCAAATTGTCCCTGTTTGCAGACGACATGATTGTATATCTAGAAAACCCCATTGTCTCAGCCCAAAATCTCCTTAAGCTGATAAGCAACTTCAGCAAAGTCTCAGGATAAAAATCAATGTACAAAAATCACAAGCATTCTTATACACCAACAACAGACAAACAGAGAGCCAAATCATGAGTGAACTCCCATTCACAATTGCTTCAAAGAGAATAAAATACCTAGGAATCCAACTTACAAGGGACGTGAAGGACCTCTTCAAGGAGAACTACAAACCACTGCTCAAGGAAATAAAAGAGGATACAAACAAATGGAAGAACATTCCATGCTCATGGGTAGGAAGAATCAATATCGTGAAAATGGCCATACTGCCCAAGGTAATTTACAGATTCAATGCCATCCCCATAAAGCTACCAATGCCTTTCTTCACAGAATTGGAAAAAACTACTTTAAAGTTCATATGGAACCAAAAAAGAGCCCGCATCACCAAGGCAATCCTAAGCCAAAAGAACAAAGCTGGAGGCATCACACTACCTGACTTCAAACTATACTACAAGGCTACAGTAACCAAAACAGCATGGTACTGGTACCAAAACAGAGACATAGATCAATGAAACAGAACAGAGCCCTCAGAAATAACGCTGCATTTCTACAACTATCTGATCTTTGACAAACCTGAGAAAAACAAGCAATGGGGAAAGGATACCCTATTTAATATTTTTAAAATTTCTTAGTGGTTGATACATATTGATTTCTGCATAGCATTTGCTATGCAGAAATTACTATGATATTCATAGTAATAGTTATTTAATTAAAATGTCTTTATCCCAAAAATGTTACACAGTGTCCTAGGCTTTTTGCTTTTAATCTCCTATTCATTATTTATATGTGACTAAAGAGTCTGTGGATAAACCTCCCATCAGTTGTTTTGAGAGCATCACAAAGTCATACACAAGAACTGATATTACTTTAAGGGTCTTACTAATTTCAGAGCACTTCTTAAGATATGTTATGTTTACAACTTTAAAAGGCAAAATATCAATTCTAATTTCATAGAGGCTAATAAAAGCATAATACTCTAAATTTTGTTTTCCAAATTAGTATCATTACCAGAAAGTCAGAATGCCCACAAGATGGGCTGTGACAACTTGATTGTGTTCAGACACTTCCCAAATTAGGTGCCATGTTCGAAAATTTGGCCAAGTGAGATTGACACAAGCTTCTCAGGGAACAGTGAGAAAAACAGAAGGCAGATCAAATTTGGGCCTGCTGATCCTCGACAGGCTTGCTTTAACTTTCTCTCCCTGAAGTTCTTTGTCTTATATTGCCTCTTCACTGAAATTGTGACACGAAGGTTATGACAAGCATATGAAAATAGCTAGTGACTTATTAATGTCTGCTATGACTTGAGTGTCATAAAGCAGCACAGTGTGGCTTCAGTGATCACCTTTCTTTCCTTCCATATACTGCAGCCAATCTCTTGAGCTGTCCAGAAGTGTCATATTCCTTCAGTGAAATAAGATCTGTACATTAATATGCTTTTCTACCTCCAAGCTCATAGTTACTTGTCACATTAATATTTTGCTTAAACCAACTTTCCCTGAAATATAAGAATGCAAATTACTCAATTCTTGAAACCCTACTGCAAGCTTTTTCCCAACATTCAATTTACACGTATATTGAAGTAATGGACATTCTTAACAAACAGCAGTTTTCATTTATTTATTTTCAGCCAAATGGAATTGAAAAGGCAATATTGAAATGGATTTTTTTATGACGTGGATCTTAATGGTTAACCCCTTCAGCAATACTAAATTATGAACCCTTCAAAAAAATCTCTCTCTTTTCAGTTTTGGGACACAAGTGTCTTTATTTTTCTACCCTTGGTTGTTTTGCTTTGTTTTAATATGACTGTCATTTATACTGCTTAAACTTGAGTACAGATATGCAAAGAGCATCTTTATAGAGCTACAGTTTATGTTGTTTTTGCTTTCTCCAGATATTTAGAAGATGTTATTGGCAATAATAATGATGATAATACAGACTTTGGGGAGCGAGTCTGTCATTGCACACAATGATGGTTTTAAATTTAGAAACGGGAAGAAAACTTTGAGGTCCGACATTCCTAGAGCAAAAAATTCTTTTTTATTTTTGAAGGAAATACAAAATAGTTATTATTACTTTTAGTAGCAAAACCCACACATACTTGTACACCAACCTAATAATAAATAACTTCTTCCATACAACTTTTTCTTTATTCTTATGTTTTTGCTCTTCATCATTCTTTCCAAAGTATATCATCTGCCTCATAAGAGTGTGTATATTTTTGATTCTCATTATTCTTTCTGAAATACTTTTTTTCCAATACTGCTGCTTTTTAATCTCTATGTTCCTATTATGGATTTAGGGCTTAATTGCAAAAGAGACATCAAGCTTACATTTCACTCAAGTTACAGTAAAACAAATTGAACATATAATATTTCAATGTATAGTTATTGATGAAAGTAGTAATAACATTTACATTTATTGCTGTTTACTCTGCAGAAGGCATTATCCTGAGTATTTTATATATACTGTTTCTGGTTAGCCTCTCAGGAAGTCCTAACAGAGGTTTTAATATTTCAGTTTTACAGATGAAGAAACTGACTCTTTCATAGATCTAATAATTGCTTAATGCACTAAGTGACTAATTAATAGGAGGCTAGCATTCTAATTTTATAGATTAATACATAATTTGTGATTATGTTTATGCTTGCTGGGCACTCATGTGATAAATAAGCAAATGAAGACTTTAATCTTCCCTTAAAGTCTGCCATACCGTAAAATTCTGATGACTACTTATTCTAAAGCAAGGTAATAAAAAGAATTTGACTTCTTGTCTCTGTAAAGTTTTATATTTTAACTGACTATATCAGTGTCTTCTAAACAAATAGTATATATGAAGAATATTAAGTTTATACAATCAAAGATCTCTTGAAATGCTGATCAAAAGATACCTCCACCAACTTTATATTCTATGAACTTTCACATGTGTGCACACACACACGCACACACACAGTTGTGTAATATGAGGAAACCACAGCTCTGAGAGATTGGGTCGCTTAACTGTGAAGTCTAAGTCTCTTGGATTATTGTTTCCTGTATACATATAATTTTCATTTGAAACTTTAAACAATACCTACAGCCCTTTGTGTGAGATGTAGCTAAGTAGTATTCTTGTTGAAGTTTTTGTTTTCCAGAATGAATTAATATCCGTAAAAATAACATGAATTGCTCAAAGCTGGGATGTCATCTTATTGTGCCACCAACTATCTGTGTGATCTTTTGAAAACACCTTCAATTCTCCAAACTTCAGTTTATAATCTGTCAAATGAGGGGTTTCTTATAAACTTTCTGTTCTTCTGCAGTGTCATCGTTTATAGCATATTATGTTTCAAAACCGGTAGTGTCAGAGCCAAAAGAATAACAGAACTCATGTTTCCATTTACATAATTCTAATCACTCGTGTTCTTCATTTGAATTTGTGTATATGCAGCACTGAAAGAGGCTGGCTCATCACAGTTGTAGGTGAACACAATTTAGGTGCAGATGTCTCTATAAACACAAAGTTGTAGTGGGACAGTCCTGTGAAAACCACTAGACTTCTAAGTCCAATCTTCTAACACTTTTGTGGTGGTGAACCTCAGATTAATATCTTATCTGCAAACTGAAATGTTAGCACATTATTTAGTGTGGTGCTTAATGGTAGTATTTAATTAAAACAGAATTGCAGAAAAGTAATCAGCATTTAACTGTTCCTAAAATGTGTGCTTTGCTTTGAATATGAATTGAGTCCCTTTGTCCTCTGTATAAAATCCATTCCACAAAGTGAACATTCACCTTCTGTTTGGCACTTTATTGTGGTTTATTTGAGGCATACCATAACATATGAAAAACCATTCTTTCTTTTTCTTTTCTTTAAATCTGTGACATATGCCAATATCCTGCTGGCTAGCCACCAAAGTACTGTGTTATGTACGGAGTTTCTTAGTCAACTGAATAAGGCACTGGAGACAAAACATCTGCATTGAGTGACCTTGAACAAGTCTCTGCTTACCTCATTACATAACTCTTATTCAAATAAAACTATACACACACATACACACACACAGTCTTTATTCTGTACATGGGACATAGGAAGAATGTAATAAATGTTAGCTATGGTTTTCCTTATGAAGGAGCTTACACAAAAACTAGTTTATCTCTGTGGATGTTTCCATTATTGAGACAAATATTAAATACTGTTATAGTTAACACAAGATAAACTATCTTTGAAATGGAATATGAACCTAAAAGTTTTATGCCAGGAAATTAAACACTTTTCAAAAAAAGGGCATAAACATTAGGAGGCATATAAAAGTTACTCTCCTGCTATCTCATAGATTGTTCATATTTTTCAATAAGATGTTAGAGTTGTCAAAGTCAAGTAAAATATAGAGATAAATCTCTAAAATTAAAATATTTTGTTTAGGGAGAAATAATTACAATTTGGGGCATACATACAAACCAGGTGGTCTTTGGTATGTCTGAAGGACAAAGAGAAGATTAGACATTTTACAAAAAAGGAGAAATGTTATTTATTACTCTTTGAGAAATTGTCTTGGCACTAGCAAGGTTTTGAGGAGCCAGCAAGCTCTCATTGGTAAGTGATGGTGGTGGACAGAACTGTTCTTAGAGTTGCAGCTGGTTGTTTCATTAGCTATTGGTTAAAACTGGTTTCAGGTTACAGCAGGCAGTTTCAGCAGCTAGGTTTATAGAATTACATATTTGAAGCAATGTTTTGTGCCCTGATGCTTTTCACCAGTGGCTTCTCAACTCTATTTTTATTTTTATATTTTTAATTATTTATTTATTGTTATTTTTTTTTTTTTGAGATGGAGTCTCACTCTGTCACCCAGGCTGGACTGCAGTGGTGCAATCTCTGCTCACTGCAACGTCCGTCTCCTAGGCTCAAGCAACCCTCCTGCCTCAGCTTCCTGAGTAGCTGGAACTACAGACATGTGCCACCACGCCCAGCTAATTTTTTTGTATTTTTGGTAGAGACGGGGTTTCACCTTATTGCCCAGGCTGGTTTTCAACTCCTGACCTCAAGTCAAGTGATCCACCCGCCTCAGCCATCCAATATGCTGGGATTACAGGCGTGAGCCACTGCACCCAGCCTCAACTCTCTTTTTAGTTGAGTATGACAAGAATAAACCAAATTGTATGATCAACTTTCACAATGTTAAGGTATATACAACAAGGACTCCCTACACCACTGATTTCCAACCATTTTAACATCAAGATTCACCTTCCTTAATGAACTCAACCATCAGTGTATTTGTCAAAGCATTTGTTATGCAATGATCATGCATCCATATTTTAGATAAATGTGAGATTTCTACTGATTTGGAAATATTAAAAATATTACTATATTTGGGCATTTTTATGATTTTCTAGAATTATTTCTTTGAAACCGTGTGCTAAAGTTTGCATTTTCTTATGCTTGTATATTGCTGTACAATACATAAAATGTTTAAGTGAATGACTCATATAATCCCACAGACAGCAAAGAATACTTTGCTGTACTCTTTTAAAATTTGATGTAACTACCGCTCATTAAGAGACATGAAGTGATTCATTCTAGTTCTGCTAGTAATTGTTAGAACAAAGCCTAATACTTTCTGGCTTCAAATTCTCTGTGTATTTTAGCTATATCTTTCTGCCTTCTAAAGGGATCTAGAAAGTAAATGAAATGCCCAACAGCTACTTAGAAGTTCAGAATGTTTATAAGACAAAAACAGGGACTTTGATTTATGACTCAATTCTTTGACAGTTCTTTATTTGAATTTTAAATGATCACTATTCTATTGTCAGATAACATATACAATGAGAACTCTCAGTTCAGTTAGCCAGATGGTGCAGCCAGGAGACGGAGGGAAGACCCAAGGAGATTAAGTATGGAGCTAGAGGCGGGCATATGATTAGAATGCAAAGCCTCCATCCTCCATCCATGCTTCTGATGTTGGGTTGCTCTCTCCAAATGTTTTACGCAGTTGCCAAAAAATCTGCATGAAAATAATATTCATTTGTGCTTGCAGTATTCATTAGTTACCCTAAATTTTCTCTGAATATCAAATACATGCCCAAGTGAGATGAGATATAAAAGCAGCAGGCAATGCAATCCAATTATCCAAGGAATATTGCTAGTCCTCAGCATAGCAGTAGTATGGCTGAACCTCAAAGCTCCTATATGTGGATTCTCTAATAGTTTATATTTTGGAGTTGGTTAGTCATTAGCTTTATAGAACCTAATGGGTTACCTAAAACAAAGGTTGCTTTAAAAAAATTATACACATTTGTACTTTGAACACAGACCTTGTCCATCTTAGTCTAAACGTCTCCATTGTAATAATTCTTCCTTCACTTGTCTTACAGTTCCCTGTGCATGACCTCACATTTAATCACTTACACATTCTTTCTTTTTATACTTCTATACCCTGCTTCCTTTCTCTATAATTCTACTCAACTACATTTATTTCTTAAGTGACAGCATGCCTCAGCATATTTTTCTTTGTTTACTGATTTATTTATTCAGCTGAGCTACAGGGTGTCAGTGAACTGACTACAAGATGACATGTAATGCTGGCAGGCAAGGCATGGGAAAAATCAAGGGAATTTGGGCAGGCATTCCAGATTGTCCAATTGAGGAAATCTGTGTTCCCTAATCAATATTTTTTTTGCTTCAAAATTGTTCCTGGATTTATACTTACTGACACTATCCAGAGCTGTATATTTCCATCTGTGCTTATAATTGCAATTTTGATTTTTTATTTGGATTATAAACCTATCCCAGCTGGATTTTCTTGCATGGCTTCATCTCTGTATGGCAGAAATGAGATCTATTTAATATTATAAGCATATTGCAGTTTAAAAAGTACTTCTGCATTCTACCCTAGGGCAGGTGGTTTCATTTGCATTTTAAAAATAAGGAATTAGAGGTTATTGATTACAACTTGCCATGAAGCACAAGCCAATTTGATTTGAGTCTATGTAATGCAAATCTCCATCTTTCCTCAACAGGTAGTTTAAGGTTACTGAGAGGATAGCTTTTAAAAATTATTGACATTCAATTTTGTTTTTAACAATAATCTTCTTCACTCGGTATCCATTTTCTGGGCACCTTGTTAGTGCCAAGCTCTGTGGCAGCTGTTGAGTAAATACATGTGTTCAAGATGCTCTTGCTGCCAGTAACAACTTAGTTTATAGTTTAATAGTAACTAGAGCCATTTTCCAAATGGTCCAGTTCTGCTGGGTGTATGTAAGAATTTCACTTCCTATCTTCCTTGTCTTTGTCTAATGTGTGTGACTAGTTCTGTCCAATAAGTTTCAAGGACAAGTGTCACCTTAGGTTGAGTATTTGTCATTACGTGATTAGTCAGCATCTTTTTCTCTCTACCACTGAAATGCTCCAGGTGGGGCTATTCTGTCAGCCTGATTCTGAGAGTGAAGACAATGACAATACAAAGAGCCTACAGTGTATACCTGGTGGGCATTTAGTGTGAGAAGGGATGATGTTATGTGTCACTCTATTACTAAAATACAGAAAATTATTGGTTATTGCAATATAAAACTTATAATGACTGATATAAAAAGACTTCAAATTAAATTCTAGGCTTTACTTCAACAGTTCATTATAACTGAAAGAATATATTATACGTATTATATATAAGATAATTGTATATTATATATGTACATCTAATATGTGTAATATAAAATATATGTGTATATATATTTAATATTTTATATGTTAAATCAAATAACGCAGGCGTCTGAGTTTGATGTAATCTATTAAATCTCTTCTCAGGTTGACTCCTAGAGATGGAAGAGCTGTAAGCAGAGACAGAAAAGTATGTTTTCACACAAACTCTTTGGCTCATTAGCAGATGGCAGCAATGAGCCAATAAAATATATTTTTCTCCTTTGAGTACTTTATATACTACTTATCCTTGCCACTTAACACCATCATTAATTTTAAAGTAGAATGTGTTTATTAAAATGTCTTTATTGATTTAGGTGAAAAATATAATTTCTCTCAGTCCTCCAAAAATTAGATCCATTTTCACATAATTCATAAGGCAAATATTTATGAACAAAGCAAACATTATTTTATAAAAAACATTAATCATGTAAAATGTATTTCAAATCAATAAGTAGGAAAGAAAAATAGTGTCTAAGAAAATATTTTGGGTAAAATGGCTAACATAAAATAAAGTAAACCTTGTGAACACCACCTCTCTCACCATATACGTAGGCTGAGAAAGTATTTTTCTATGTCTCACTCTTGTTCCATCTTTTCTGCAAACTTATAGGTAATAAAAATAGACAACTCTTGGAAACACATGCTTCCTCTTCAATGGGGACAAAGTTTTAGGAATGCCAAAAGAAGAGGTTAGAAGAGCAATTAGAAGACAAGCGTGAATAAATGAATCTTTAAAATGCATCTAAAATTTTGATACTGATGCTTGAGTCTCACTCAAATTCTGAGTCACAATAGACTTGGACTATAATATCTAGACCATCTAGATGCTTTAAAGTAGGAAGCTTTTTTTTTTAATTACTGAGAAAACTGTTATTTGCAAAAATGAACACTTGTTCTTCTTGAAACTATTGTGAAAAAGGTAATCCAAATGTTCATGAATGGAGATACTTTTGTACATGTCTGGCAGGCCCCTGCTAGGTACTGTTGTATTAGGGTTCTGCAAACAAACAGAGCCAATAAAAGATGTGTGTGTGTGTGTGTGTGTGTGTGTGTGTGTGTGTGTGTATGAAATATGTATATACACACATATACATATACACACATGATACTGGCTCACGTGTTTGTGGAAGCTAAGTCCCACCATCTGCAAGCTGAAGATCCAGTGAAACCAGTGGTGAAGTTTGAAGCCTGAGAGCCAGAGAGCCAATGATGTAGAGAGTCTGAAGTCTAGAAGCACTGAGGGCAGGAGGTTGATGTCCCACTTCAAGCATTAAGGTAGAAAGTGAATTCAACCTTCCTCCTCCTTTTTGTTCTACTCAGGTCCTTACTGGACTGGATGATGCTTATCAGTCCACCAATTCACTGGCTGATCTCTTCTGGAAACACCCTCATAGAAACACCCAGAAATAATGTTTAACCAGCTGTCTGGGCATCCCCAGGCCCAGTCAAGTTGATGTATAAAATTAACCATCACAGCTGTATAGGAACTATTTCATTTAATTCTCAAAGTTATCCTAAAAACTGATTCCATTCCTTCCATTGTTTGATGTCTCCCAGCTAATAAATAGAGGACTACAATTCCCTGTCATTTCTGCCTGATTACAAAAGCTGTTCACTTTCCACCCGGAAGGCCCAAATAACAATGATTTGTTATCAAAATAGCACATCCATCATTTAACTACTGAGAACTGAACTTGTCCTTAAATGGAAATTTTCCAGTTTTTAAAAAAGATTCAAGATTAGAAATCTACAAAAGGTTTTTGTCTTCATCATACATATATGTTATAAGCAATACATCTAACAAAATAATTGAGCTAATATCAGCAATAGTCGCCAATAGGTGATTTTAAATCACCGAGCAGATGACTAGTAATGTGCATTGTGCCCCTGTCAGCTGAGCTATAAATGATGTGAGGTACTCCTAAACTCCATAAAGTCAGAAAGAAAACTCATATAGGATCCCACTTTTGCAAAACACCCAGCCCTTCTTTTGCATAAAAGCAAGAGACTCTAGGGAACCTTACACATTAATATCCATATCAGTAAGGAGAATAAAAATGATTTGGCTAGCAGCATAAAAAATTGGGAACATCTGAAAGATTCATAGTTCTGCCCTGTCAGCTGAAAAGCATCCAACTCATTTTCCTTCATGCTATGAATGAAAGTAACTGCAGTGGAGGCTATTCCTGTAGCTGTCACTAAATAACTTGCCCCATGGTGTAACCAAGGGATGAGACAGGATGTCATACTTCAAAATGGAATTAAAATAAAATAAGATAAAAATATAAATTAAAAAAGGGCCCTTTTATCTACTGTGAAATTTGAAGTACTTGAGTTTTATCCCCAGATGGCTTTTAAATCAACCTAGTGAATTCTAATTTATTAGTAACAGAAATAGTATTTGGCTTAAGATTTCAATACTCTGCCTTAATCCCTACCAGATTTTTCTGTACTCATGCTGTGGAGCTGTACTCTGGAGCAGCAAGTGACAAGTGAAGACAACCTCCCTCCCTGCCTTTTCTGGTCTGAGTAACATTGTCATTAAAATTGTCAAATAAATTAAGATACCAAGACAAAAAAATGCCCAATTATTTTAGCCAACGCATTTTGCTACTTTAAGTTTATCTTTTAACATGAAAATACAATATTTTTAAAAGAGAAAATCATATAGAAATTAGTTTAAATAATGAGCCTTTTCATTTTAATAAAGCAAGTTTCCCAGAAATGAAATATCCAGTCATTTTTCACAATATTTTTCTAAAATCACTAATTGCCCTCCAACATAATGGAATTTTATGTCATTGACATTCTCATGAGATTCTTATAATATAAACCCATGGATATGATGTTACAATGTCAAACGAAATAAGCTAGCAAGTCTATGGAGGTATATGTCAATGATGCAAATATTTCTATGTGTAGAAGTAGTAATATGTCAAGATGATGGCAAATAATACCAGGGATTTCTCTGGATACTATTTTCTGGAACAAAAACCATGCAAAAAAATGAATGTCATTGCAATTCTTTTGAGACAATGATCTGGTTATCATGGCTATAATAAAAGAAAAGTTGCTAGTGTTTGTGATCATCTGAATTATTTCTTATGTATTTGAGGAAATGATACTTTTATATACCCCATTGTAAAGCACCTAAGAGCTTTCAGTGCCTTAAAAAGAAAATTTTGGTCTTATAACATGGTCCAAATCAAGAGGAAGGGAGGCATTTCAGGGATTTTAACATCAAGAGAGTTTACATTGTTTTATACTCTGTTGGAATTTGATTACTGCTTGTTGAAGTCATCATCAATATCCTAGACTTCCATGCTTGTTAACAAGGGTCTTTTGACTTTGGCAAAATCTGTATTTGACATACTCAGATGAGTTCATAAAACTTCCAAAGTATGATTTTTTTTAAATGAGGTGTGACTTTAATCAGATAAGTGGAGGAAAGGAAAAAAAAAAGGTCATCTGTGATTTATTTAATTCTTTAAGTGTATTCAAGGTAATGCCACAAGGAGAGTAATTTGACCTTACTGGGTAAAGCAATTTATTATAGTATAAATAAAGATATTTTTGGTCCCACTCATTTAAGTTTCTGTGCATGGATAGAGTCCAAATAAAACATTGGAATTCATGATTCTGAATTATGTGAGCTATTTAATCATTACTGCTGGAGAACCAGACACAAGAAGTAATTTTCAGCAACAAAGTTATTAGAGTGATGGTAAAGAGTCCAAGAGAGCCCATCCCGGAACACCACTTGAAGAAATAATCCAAATAATACCATAGCCCCTCAGGAGGAAGAGGAGCTTATGTACACAAACACATGTGTCTAACCTTTCAAATAGTTCAAAGTGCTTTCAAGCATGTTTTATGATAATATTCTTATGACAGAGATAAGGGCAAGGACTATTCTGATTTTGCATGGGGAAATGAACACAAGCTCTAGCCATCATAGTTATTTGTGATTATTTATCTAAGTCGAAACATGTGGAGTTTACTTATGTCTAAAATTTTGTCTAAAGTATCCCAGTTTTCACTTACTTTAGAATAATTCAAATATTCATATAAAATCAGACTATTTCTCCTGGATATTCTACTTCTTTCATAACCCTATATTTCTTCACATATCAAATTGAAATTAATTCTAGATTTTTAAATGCCATCATTTAGATTTTTTCTTATAAAATTCCATTTCAGGTATGGGGTCTGTTGCAATCAGACCCAATGTAGATTTATATTTATAAGCCAATGTAGATTTATTTTTATTCAACATTTATTATGTTCCAGGTAATCTTATTTCTTGCAATAATCTGAGCTTATGAACCCTGTTTTATAGGTATGAAATCTGAGACTTGGAGATGATATATAGATTTCCAACATAAAGCAGGAATTGAGGATGTTCCAGGTACATTTCAAGTATGTGTTCAGTTTCAAAACCTGTGGCCTTCAAGGAGGTTCCTTGCTCTTACAGGCCTACCATCCGTCCACCCATCGATCCAGAACACAATATTTTTAGTGAGAAAATAATTTATTCAATTTGCCATTAGTAATTGCACTTTTGGTAGAGAGTAACAAAATAAATGATTACTTGGATTTCTGTCTTATTTTTACCAGTTATTTTTACTGGTAAACCAGGTTGTATATTTTGGACAAGGATGAAGCAAAATAGGAAGTGTTACATCTTCTGTAGGATTTTCATATTTAACAATTAACCAACACATACATTCATGCAAACAGGTCGATCATTAGGTTTAACATGTGGGGTTATTTCTTATGCTACCTCATTTTTTTCCCTTAGGTTTTTATCGAACCGGAGGTTTAGCCTGTATATTATGTATTTGTAAATGAAATTTCTTTTCTGATACAACTATATTAGCCTCTATTACATTGGCACTTTGCCTTAATGTAATGTCAGTCTATTTATTGTTTAGAATAAAATTATAATCATCTTCATTTCCAACATGTTCTGATACTTGACAGAAAATTCTTTTAGACTACAGCACTGAGTAATTTTAAGACAAAAATTGTTCATAAACATAATTTTGACATGTGTTAGTCTACTTTTTGTTTCCCATAAATAAATCTCCAAGTAGAGAAGTTTACATAGAAATGTTTTTGTGAAAATGGGAGATGCTGCAAGAACTATTATTTTTTGAGATGATCCTCTATAGAATTTTTATAAAAGCTTATCAGAAATAAAAAGCATATATTAACATAGAATGTAAGTAAGAATTCTATTTTCAAAGAAATTACTAAAATCTTATAGTCATGTTTGATTTACACAAAGTCAAAGAAAAACTGAAGACACTACCTTGGAACTCCCCTTGAAATTTTAAAGTAGACTCTATCTATTCCGAGGCTCCATTCTGAATGTTAAATGCCAAAAATCTATCAAACAACTGGGTATACTTTCATTATATTTGATAAAACATTATTTGCTCATTGAAATGGTGTGCTTCTGTTAATTAGTGTTACTCTGTAATTAGTATTACTGCCATGTGTTGCACCTGTTATTCTTTGAAATGACACTTCTTTAAAAATCTCCCTTAAAATTTTGAGGAGTACCAATAATCATCTCTTCACCTACATATTTCCTATTGATAGTTTCTGTTCATATTCCTATCCATGAATCCTGGCACTTATCTAAAATTTTAATCTTCAGAACAACCATTTTCGGCAAATACCATGAACCAACCCCCGTCTTTGTGCCTTGATCTCTAAATAGCCTTCTTCCCTTTCTGGAAGGCTTCCTGTTGTGGTTTCTGAGCTCTTCTTGACTTCTCAACTTGCCTGTTCTCTTTGCTTAGGAAACACATTTTACTTAAGCCAGTTCTAGGACTGGGGCTGAGTGAAAAATAAAAATATCGACTCTTTGTTCAAAAATTATTCATAATTTCATGATGGCAGCAGCAGAACCAAGTGTGGAACCTTTGTAAGTGTGAGGCCTTGTGCAATGCGTAGGTCTCTGCCCATGAAACAGGTCCTGGTTGATGTTATTTGTTGTTATGCTTCAGCACTGCTCTTACTTTTTTGGTACATCCTTTCCCTGACTGTATCTTTCATTACCACTATCAGATTTCCTTTTCCATTTTTTCCCAACAGTGTAGCTGCAGAGGCTTGAGCTGCAGAGACTCTTACCTGTTCTCTTCCTGTTTTCCTGAAAGAAAGGTCAAAAACAGCAAATATTTGTGATTTTTTTTTGAGACAGGATGTCACTCCAGTTGTCCAGGCTGGAGTACACTGGTGCAATCTTGGCTCACTGCAGCCTTGACTTCCTGTGCTCAGGTGATCCTCCCACCTCAGCCTCCCAAGTAGCTGGGACTACAGGCATGTACCACCATGCCAGGCTAATTTTTATATTTTTAGTGAAGACGTGGTCTCACCATGTTGCCCAGGCTGGTCTCAAACTCCTGGGTTCAAGTGACGCACTGACCTAGGCCTCCCACAGTGCTGGATTTACACACATGAGCCACCATGCCCAACCGTGAATGTCTCTTAAAATATTTTTATTAAGCATCTTGCAAGAAATTCTTATATTAAATCTGAATTGATAATTGAATTAAGATAAGAATCATACTATCAAATATTATAGCATGACTTAGTTTTGTTGATGTAATAGGTGCCAATCTACTTAAAGTATGTATGTATTCAATGTTGGTTACATTCATTTGAAAATTAATTTATTTGATAACAGTGTCTGTGACAGTGATGGCAGAGGTTCCAGAGACAATTGTTTAAAATCATTGTGCCAAAATATTAATTTTTATCATCATTAACAGGGTGACTCTCTTCCTTAGGTGTGGCATCGTTTTCAGAATTAAAGAGGGTATATAACCTGCTTCTACCACATCTGATCTCTATCCTGGTATCTTCTGGGAATCATCTTCTTCACTATCTTTTTTCTTTCTATATCTCAGTCTTTCTAGGTTTTGCTTTTCATGTTTCTAAGCTAACAGTGATTAATCTGATAACCCATCAGATGGAAAAAAAAATAGAGAAGATACTTACTCTACTAAATCATCAATTCTTATTTTTTCCATGAGATAAATGTACTTGTTGTTTCATTTTTAGTTTTTATGGGTTTTTCGGCTTACTCTGCAAATGAGGCAATGACTTCTAGTTTACTGGCTCTGTCAAAGTGATGCTTTCAATGAAATTACTAATTTAATTCCAGTTGAATTAAAAAGATTTGGTAACTAGTTGTGGTGGATATGTGGAATATTTCTAGACATTTTCCCCAAAGTAAAGTTATATACTTAGTTGGCTTATTCATTTTTGCATAGGCCCAATACTGGGTCTACCAGGGCTGGTGACACAGAATATAAAAATCTCGTGATTCCGGCCAGGCACGGTGGCTCACGCCTGTAATCCCCATATTTTGGGAGGCCGAGGTGGGCAAATCATGAGGCCAGAAGTTTGAGACCATCCTGGCTAACACGGTGAAACCCCGTCTCTACTAAAAATACAAAAAATTAGCTGGGCACGATGGTGGGAGCCTGCAATCCCAGCTACTCCAGAGGCTGAGGCAGGAGAATTGCTTGAACCCGGGAGGCGGAGGTTGCAGTGAGCTGAGCTCATGCCACTGCACTCCAGTCTGGGTGACAGAGTAAGACTCAGTCTCAAAAACAACCAACCAACCAACCAACAAACAAACAAACAAACAAAAAACTAGTGATTCTTCACGCTATCTTTTATGCAAGGAGAATGTCAGTGACAGCTTGTTCTAGCACTGACAAAAACGTATTTATTCTATATTTCCACTTACAATGAGTTTTAGGCCTTATTCACTCAGAATTCTTAGTTCTTTCCAACAATTATCCTATCTTTAACAAAAAAGACCTGATTAAAACAATGTAATACTTCAACTATAAGGCAACACACATAGAAATAGAGTAAGATATCAGCAATTGGCGTAGAAAGTCATGATGAAATCTACAGAAATTTAGGTGTAGAACAGTTCATTAAATGTTAAAATGTACTTAGCAAATATCCATGCTTAATTGTAGGTCAATATAGATATAAACTATTAATGTTGGCTCCTGATACTTCATCATTATGTCAATAATATCACTTTTAATTACTGTTGGCCTCATCTTTTTTAATACTATTTTCTTGTAAAATATAAACCCTTAATGGGAGAGCAACAGCCTCCTATTTATCACAAGTAATAATTGCACATTATCAATTATAATAATCTGTTGCAAATTGTGCTAATTTAAACTTTTATAGGTTATGTTTTCAAAAGTCTTTGTGATTATTTTTCTTTAGTTATTTTAGAACACTCTGCACACCTTCCATGCAGAATTAAAAAAAAAATAACTAAACCGAAATTTTTCAAATCTGACACTTATTTTAAATGAAAGTATGTGTGTTTTGGCCTAAATTACTTTAGGCCAAACTGTTAATTACTTTAACAGTTGCCTCACTTCTTCATTTTTTGTACTATTGTATATAAACAAATATAATGCAAATTTTATGAATATTCTAACATTTGTTTGGTGGTACACTTGAATTTGCATGAGAAAAAATATTTGTATTTTGTGAAACATTAAATATTTGAAAAAATTTATAAGAGATATGAGTGCTAAAGCTATGTTTATATGGTAAAGTTTATATATATCCTTTGGTGGATGCTGAAGTTAAATATTTCTTTAAAATATATAAATTAAAGTTCATATTTAAAGGATGATAAATTTAAAAGTAATGAATATGAGAGTGAGGAGCTATAGCTAAACTACAAATAACACAAAAAATGTTAATTATTGCATCTGAGCTTAGTTTTGAATTTCCCAAACTTAAATCTACTTAGAAACAATTGATCACAGGGAATAGCACATTTTTATGTTTTTTAAAAATTGTTTAATCTGTTTGGAACCCAATAAATATACATGTCTGAAGACTAAAGACAGCTATGGAGATTTTCAAATAAAAATGTTTTGCTTACATTTAATTTTATTGACCTATTATGCTTGAGTACTTTATTCATAGCCAGACTTGCATGAGTACTTATTAGTAGCCCAACTAAGAATTAAGCTAAACTTATTAGATGATTTTATAACCCCTTATGTCTGATTAAATTGTATCATTTAAAATGTATTTGCTGAAATTTAAGTCATCCTAATGAAGCAAATGTTGATAAGGAATACTATTTCTCCCATAGTTTTAAGATGTTTTCATTTTTTGGTGAGAATACCTTAGCTTTCCAAACCATTTTCTCTTAGTAAAACCCGTTATAGATGATACACCTTATAACTAATTTGAACTGTCTTTAATGATTCAAAAGCAAATTTTATAAAGCTCTTAAATTTTTATTCTGCTTTAAACATTTTAATAAATCACTGCTCTTATCCTTAAAAGAAACCACATGGTAGATGTTACTAAGAAAAATTAAATTGAAATGTCTCCAATGTATAACTTACATTTAAGGATTGAGTAAAGATGGGGTTTCATAGTTATAATTTATTGAATAGCCCTAAATATAACATTAGGAAAAAATCTAGTTACTTGTGAAATTATGTCTTCACAGTAGCTGCTGTTATATTTATATTGTGAATGATAGAGCTAAGAGGTGGTGAAAAATATTTATAATGGTAGATCATCAGGATAAAATAGGGACAATATGCCTTAATCACTTTTTTTTTTTTTTTGGAATGTACTTAATGGAAAGGATGAATGACTGCCTTACTTCAAAATTAAATTCTATTGCCTTGAGTGAGGGATTTGAGTATTAGCATAACATTCTATTTATGTGAGTTATGCTATAGTTTTTGTCATTTTTTACATTACAGTGAAGTAATGCTACTGATTTATGGTTGCATTTTTAAAGGGCAATGCTATACTGAAACCAGAGACTGAAGGAAGCTGAAAGTCATATTTGTCAAAAACTCAGCCTTGACATAGTTTATGATCATTGACTATTTGCCCTGTTTATAGGGCTTTATTTAAGAGTAAGCTAATCTAGCAAGAACAAATATGACTGATGTTTGCCTATTTATTATTTTTCAGTGTTTCATTTTTTGGTTAGATGGCTATAAGATGCAAGCTATATAAAGTTATGCAGAAGTTAAAGAATGCATAGTGCTTTCCGTTTTCATTATTCTCCTTTGAAAAGAATTACTTTGCAAATATTCAGCTTGGGTTCTACCAGCATCCACTATAATCAGAGTAATTTTTAATATCAAATAAATTATGAATACTCTCTTCAGTTATGCAATTGAGATGTTAAATGGTTGTGTGAAGATTTGAATGTTATGGTCTGGTATATAAGGAAATTATCGCCAATGTGAAAAACATTTCTGCTTATAAATTATGAGGGCTTGATAACTTGAAACTTTTATAAGTAAGATTATTTCTAAGTTGAACTATAGGAATTTCAACCTAACCAACAACTTCTTATTTAGCTGAGTATCTGAAAACATAGGGAGCGAACTTATATATTACCATTCAAAAGCTTAAAATTATAAACATATTTTCATTCTGGGTTAAAATTAATTTTTTAATTTTATCTCTTAGACTCACAGATGATAGGAATAATAGCTATCTTTGCTTTAGTTTTTCAGTCAATGGTTATCAGTACATTTTAATTCTGACTGGAAACTTTAATGTAAACAACAATAAAATATTATTTTGATATATCTACAAATAAAAAAATTGATGTTGCATACACCACGATGTAGTTACCCCAGGTATAGTCAGAGCAAGCAGAAACAGTAAGTGACTTGAATGTTAAGTCAGTAGGTGAGGAGGCAGAAAAACCATCCATTAAAGTGCAGTACTAGGCAAATGAGACTCAATGATTATAGCGTCCAGTTAGGCTGATTGGACTGGCTGCAGTAAATTGCACAACTAGAGTTGTCATTCCATGGAGGCGTTATGCCATAGTTTGGATCAAGAATGAAAATAAACTAAGATATACTTTCCAATTTGATAGGTACACTAGATAATGTGCTCCAATCTGGAAAAAACAAATGATTTTCTGTTACTGCAGGAAAATTCAAGTGGTCAGTGTTTCTAGTTTCCAAAACATAACAATACTAAGAATAAAAAATACTGAATTAGTAAAGCTTAATCTATAATTACTACTTACAGTAAGCAAGGAAGATATTTTATCGCAACTGACCTGGCTAATAGAGTGGGCTGGAAGGAAGGAAGCCTATTTATTTGAGACACCATGTGAAAACTTTGAAACACAAAGGGGAAAAGGCAGTTTCATTGAGAATAAAATATTCATGCTGATAACTTACATAAAACAAAAGATGGAGTGTTTTCTGCAGGGAAATTACTTTCTTTGATGAGCTCCATTTATGCATGATGGAGTTTTAAATTTTTGAAAACCCCCTTGGTTATTTTTTCTTCCTTTCAATTCTGGTGGTTTTAATTTCAGGCATAAACAGATGTAAAATTTTCTTGCTAAAAGCTTCTTACACTGTTTAAAGTCGGATTTATGACATAGGCAAAAATAAAATGCCGTCTTACAATGACAGTGAGTAGGAAATCAACAGTTAAGGCATCAGTCTCATGAATTGCACAATGAGCAGTAGCTCCCCCATTTGTTTTGATACTGCCCAATGATAAAATATATCTTCATTTACTTCGCTCATTTTTAACATTGTTTTGATTGAAGCATATTCTTGAGGGATGCTGAGTATTATATCTGCTAACTAGCAGCTTGGGTTCTGGAAGCAATTCTATTTGAGTGAAATCTATTATATAATGACTTTGTTGAGTGGCCTGCAAGCTGCATGTTAAGGTTCAAACCTTTACTTCTTGAGGATAGAAAGCTATTGGTTTATCTGATAATTTAATATGGGAGGCATTTTAGAAGCTGCACTGGCTAGCAAGGATTTGTATCTTATGTATTGCCTATCACCCTAATCAAAAGAGAAGGAAAAGATGGAATATACCTCATCTCTAGAGACTTAGGTTCCAATGGTAGAACATCAGAGTAGAAAGGAAAATAAATGTGTTAATGCTTCTTTGATTGAGCATCACAGAGTCAACATGCAATCTGACACTGCTTAAAAGGGGTTGCTAGTATCAGACTCATAAAGGGCTGGAAAAAGAATGGGCAGGAGAAGAATGTTTACAAGTTGATGTACATCAGCAAGGTTTTCACAGTGTCTGTTTGCAGGAAACTGATCCACTAAGGGCAAATCTTTATGGAAATGTACGTTGCAAAATAACTATCTATAAACAAAGCTCTATATTATTACCAAGTGTGATAAATAGATACCTGTGCTGGCCGAATGTGTATTAGAATAGAGCACTCTAAATTTGCTACATTGAAATAGGTCACAAACCTCTTGCAGTGACCCAATTTTGCACTCCTGGGCAGCAAGAATCTAGCTAATAGAATCAGGACTATGCTTTCACTCCTTATGATCTAGCAAAATCTAGTGATTGCAAGATGTTTTAGAAGCCCAGAAAATGCACATGTACAAACACACACATGTTTAAACCCTCATTAATTATATACTTACATAATTTTTACACGGATTTATAAAAGAAAAATGTTCAAGAAATGAAAGATTTTAGAATGCCTCTGCCTCTAAATTTGAGACAGTGGCTTTGCCACACTGCTGTTCATTTGATAAATATTCATTGATTGTTACTCCCTGGAGATCCAGAAACGAATGTAACCCCCTTATACTCT
This sequence comes from Homo sapiens, assembly GCF_000001405.40. Taxonomy (NCBI): domain Eukaryota; kingdom Metazoa; phylum Chordata; class Mammalia; order Primates; family Hominidae; genus Homo; species Homo sapiens. Next base: position 129,985,404 of record NC_000004.12, read on the forward strand.
TAAGAATCTCACAGCTAGCTGAGGTAGAGAGATAAGTCAATCAGCATTTTTATAACTTAAAATGATAAGTCTAAAGGACAAGTTGTTACATGAGTGTACTTTACTCAGTCTAATAAGTAATAGGAGGTTTTGGAGATGGTGATGTGGAGTCAAATTCTGAAAAGTAAATGAATGGGAGGCTGTGTGGGTGTAGGCGCATAAAGTTGACAAGACATTGAGATCTGAGAAAACTTGATTTTAAAGATAAGACGACATGCAAACAGTTTCATGCTCCTGCCACAGGGCAGCTGGAAGGATGGAGAGTGTGCAGGCTTGGGAACCACAGCTGGGATAGGGTCTGATCTCTGTTCAACCAATATTTGGTGGTTTTTTCAAGCATTTAACTTCTAATTGCATTTCTATAATAGCAAAATGTATTTAATAATATCTTATATTTTAGGTTCATTGTGAAAATATGTTTTATACATGGCATATTCAATCAATATTACTTAAAGAGGTTATAATTATCAAAAATGACCTTAACCAGAGGTTCCCAAAATGGAATTACTTCAGGAATTTTCAAAAATGCCAAAGACTGGATCTTGCCCCTCAAGATTCCGATTTAACTAAACAAAGTCAGATTTCAGGCTGAAAGAGAATACAGAAAAATCTGAAAAATAATGGTCAGTCATGAAAAAGGAAATAATTGGAAAAATGTTGTCTTCACCTAAGAAGGCTGTGAGTATGCTAAGAAAGAGGATTTATTTATTCCATAGAACAGAAAGACCGCCATTAACAGGTGTAGCTGAGTAACATTTCCAGGCTGCACCCACTTCAAAATCGTTGATTTTAGGGGCTAAATAGCAAAAGTAAAGTTTCTATGTTCAGAAAGTCTATTCTGATATGAAGTGCAACAAGTCAATGCCTTATATTATGATAGAAAAAGTTGTAAGTTGTATTTCCTTGGACTGCCATGGAAGGAGCATGGAAGAGGTGGCAAGGGAATCTAATTTTGAGGATAAAGAGTCTTAGAGCATTTTAAAGTAACAACGTTTAGTCTCTCTAATTAATATGCATCTCAAAGAGACAGAGGCCCTGCTTTGAAGATCTGAAATGCAGCAAAAGTTATCCTGCCTAAGCCTTTAACCATGGGTTTGATGACTAGAAACGATATTTTTAACCATGTTAGGAGAGAAAGAAATAGGCTGAATTACAGCAGAAAGAATTTAAATACATAGTAGAGCAAATGACGATCACCATTTGAATATTAAAACAACTTACTTTATTTTTGTCCTATCATAAATTAGCCCTGATATTCTATCCTGGTTACCAAGGAAGCAATTGTGTGGCAGAACCATATTCTCTAATGTTAAGGATGACAGAAAACTGAGAAGAAGCCAAGTTCCTCTTAATGAATTAAGATTTTAAAGGTCTGAAGTTTTATTTTTTCATGAAAAACAATAATGCTGATAGTTTGATTATGTAAATAAAGTATACAGTATTACACTTTTGTAATTGATATTAAGGACCTACATATAAATGAATTATTTTACACATATATTGTTTTTCCCACGAAAATACTTCGGGCTAATTGGATAATAATTAACCATATTTATTTTCTCCCCATGAAAGTCTTTTAATATTACAGAAATATTTCCCTATGAGGTATATAATTGTTGAAATATTTCCCACCTAAAATTATCCTAATTACTTTGTGCCACTCTTGGGGTAGAAATATGTGAAATTGCATCACTTTCAAAAAAGATTTCTTTAAAGATCTTCTTTAATTTACTCATCTTCACAAACTTTTCACAGACTTGTAAATTTGTCTATGCATGCTGTTTATTTTTTTTGTTTGGCTTTGTTTGGCTTTGGTTTTAGGGATTTTTTTTTTTTTTTTTTTGCACTCAGCATTTACACAAAATCCCATTACAATCTAACATTTGCTTCAACCATTCAAATAGATGGGGGGTGTGGGGGGTTGTTGCTGTTGTTGTTTATTACACAAACTATTTTCAGGTAAACAAATCCAGTGACCATGTTTCAGTCTTCATCTTATTTGACTTCTCATCTCATTGTGGAAATTTGCATTTCTCTGATCATTAGAGGAGTTGAGAATTTTTCATATACCTGTTGGCTATTTGAATGTCTTCTTTTAAGCAACGTCTATTCTATCCTTAATTCTTACCTTTCCTTTACCCCATATTCCTACTCTTTCTGTAAGACCCATTGTTTCTGCTTCCTAACTATATTTCAAATAGGCCAGTTACTCCCCAATTTTACTGGCCTCTTTCTTGAACACATGACCACCGTCTTATGTCTGGTCTCCTCCAGGAGCCTCCTTGTTAATATCCCACTTATATGATTCTAGTGGGTACCTAACCCATGATATTTTTTATCATTGCATTTTGTGTGTATTCTTTGTAGCAACTACCATGAATTTTTATATGAATATTTATGTTAAATTTTATGGGTATATTTTCTTGTTTATTATCTCTCTAAGCAGATAAACTGTAAGAAGATAGACTTGTGCCTTTTACTCCATCAGTGGATATAAACATTTTTAACAGTGACTGTTATACATTAGGAGGTCAAAAAATATTGTTTTTAATAAGCGACTGACTTGCTTAAAGACCACAAAAGTAGTGCTGTGGCTACCGCCCCCCCCCCCACAAAATCTATTTCTAAGAAAAAAATTATATATATATGCATATATATTCATCAATTGAATAGGTATCATATTATATTTAGCAACCCATCTATAGAAGAGGCAAGTTTGCTTAGGGGAGTAATAGACCATGTTGATTTTATATTGATTTATATTGATTTTAAGACTTAGTTTTTGATCAGCTTTTGTTATTCTTTGTAGTGATGGTGGCGGTGGCTTTTTTCCTATTACAAAAAAAACAAAACTAGCAATTCACTTAAATCATTCCGGTGACTCAAGAGCTATCTCAAAGTGCGCTAATCATTTACTTCATAATTTATTGTCAAATGTTAGTGTACATCATTTTATACACAAAAAAACTAATTATTTTAATGTGGATTTTAAATAGAAACTTAGAAACAATACTGAGATTAGACTGTAGATTAACTGTATAAGCACTGTCATTATATGTTCAGCAATTGGGAGAAGCTACTGAATGCATGAATTCGGCTTTAGTTAGTACCAACATAATAAAATGGCTATAGCATATGGCATGAAAAAGGCCATTTAAGTACGGATTTGGTAAAGTGATAAGGAAAGGGGCAAGACTATAGGATTTTACAGATAACTCATCTGATGAGAAAATAAAGCAAAAAGTTGGCAGTAAAAGAGAGAACAGTAATGGGATGATAGACAGATGGAGAACCAAATACAGCAAGAGAGGTGAAGGAGAGTTCTCCGTGTTTGAAGGCAGATAAAAAGAAAGTCACTGAAGAGGAAAAATTAAATTTGGCAGAGAGTGAGGAAAACATAAGAATTATATCACTCAGAAGCTTCAGTGTCTTCTCTAGTTCTGTATAATAATTTGGATATCAAAAAATATTTTTACACAGTTGTATTATATGACCCTTACACAAACTATTTAAGTATGAGTGAAGTAAGACAGGTGGTTCTATTCCCATTTCACAGATTAGAAAACAGAAGCTCAGTTCCTAGGGTCATGAAGCAGGTAAATAACATAAGGGAGAACAGAAGTATTCTGATTTCTACAGTTTTATACTTTCCACTACACTATGTTGACAGTGTGGTATTAATCTTTAAACAGGAGGAGATTGAAATCTGCTGTGAGAAAGGAAGCATTTAAGGCAATGATCCAAAATGAGTCTCTTTTGCCACCCACACACTTGAATTATTACTACAGCCTAAGTAAATTTCAGTAAACCAGGAGTGTAGAAAGAGATGGCTGTCATGAAGGGGTGGGGGTAGCATTCATTTTTTCATTCTTTTTTTTTTTATAGTGTTCTGTATGTAAACCTTCTACCAATTATTGGAAATACATTGGTGAGCAAAAATAGTCATAGTCCAAGCCTTCCTGAAGCCCATTTTCTAGTGAAAAAAAGTAGGCTTTTTGTCAAACAACAAAATTAAATTTTTAAGTGCAAACTCAAATGTAAAGGCAAAGTACACAATGCTATGAAATAATTTTAAATGAGTCTCATAGAGCTGAGAAGGCCAGGAGATACTTGCTTACCTAGAAGGATGGCAATTGATTTAAATTCTAAAGAAGGAATAAGAGTGAAGTATCTGAGAAGATTTAGGGCAGGCACAAAGCCTGCTAGGAAGACATATATGAAGAAATGAAAGAATTTGGTATGACCAAAAAAATTTGGTGTGCTTATGTTCCTGTGCCCTGAATTAAAACCAACAGTAGAATTTTCTCTTCATTTTAAATAGTTATGTAGTGAAATTGAGTCAGACAATTCTGACTCAATATTTTTTCCAAGTGATGACTATCCAAAAACCAAAGTATGACAAATTTAGTTCATTGATCTTATTGATTTTTAGTTGAGATTCGTGAATCAGGTAGCATCTCATATAAAAATAGAGAGGTGCTATGTTGGACATAGGCGAACAGTTGGGTTTCGTAAGGTAGGAACAAGAAAGTCAAAAGAGCAAATTGGTTAATACCAGGTACTTCATGTTATTTTACTCGTAAGAGTTAAAGCAGTGACTTCCTTATTATTTCAGCAGAAGTTGACTGAGTTCTTTCCAATTGGTTGTTGAAGCTCCTGTTTTCAGACAAAAACTTGTCTGTCCGAGGATTTTCCTACTTCCTTACAGTTCAGTTCGCTCTGCTTTAGTTTGGTCTATTGGGATCTAGTGCAGGAGCTCAGTCCAAAACAATGGCCTTCTACAAATTTTAATTAACATGACTCAAAAACAGAGAATAAAATAATTGCTTTAAAGTCATAATTTCTGGGAGGATGTGTGTGTGTGTATGTGTGTGTGTGTGTGTATTCTTGCAAAGGTCTTAAACAGTGTTTTGCACATGAAAAACCGTCATAAAATAATAATCAGTTAATTCTTTCAGCATGTATTTATTGAAAACCTAGGAAGTACAATGTGTGCAAGCACTCTACTGGAGGCTCTTATCAGCGTTTTATCCTCTAGTATTTGACCAAAGAATGGCCAGGATGCAGTTAAAAAGATTACTTCTTGCTTTGAAAAAGCCAATTCCATATGTGTTTACATATTTATATTTTCTAGATTTCTAATCTTCTTTTCTTGCCATAGCCTCAGGTAGGACAGGAAAACCATTCTTGCAGTGCTGTAGTGATATACTCTCCAATATGGTAGTCATCTGCCACATGTGGCTATTGAATATTTGGAATGTGGCTAGTACAACTAAAACTTGATCTTTTATTTTATTGGGTTTTAATTTAAATAGCTGCATATGGCTAGTATCACCTGCATAGTGCCACTTCACAGGGATTCAGAAAAAGACTTTTAAGTTCCCACTGCAATGTACTTTTGATACCTTTGGCATGAACTTGCTATTTCTTGTATCTTGTGGCCTGGATGTAATTGAAAGAGATTTTTTTTGGTATAAGGGAAAACTTATCTTGAGAAAAAAATGTAGGTGTGAACAAAAGCTCATTTTCCCAACTCTCTTGGGGAATAAAAAGTAAAATGTTGATATCAAAAAGTCTGCCAAAACACGCAGATGGAATTTCACAGGAATTGATTTTTTCAAGAACCCAAAAGAGTTAAAATAAACAATTTTCTTTATGTTTATTATTTGAGAAACAGCCACTCACAAAAATATAAAAACCATAAAAATAAAGGAAATAAAATTACTTGTGTTATAAACATTTAGAAAAATCTGGTGGTGATTTAAAGATAGGTGGAAGATTAATCTGAGGTCAGCCAACTTATTTCTCTTAATTATATCCAATATTTAGAGTTTCTGCGAGACACCCTTTTTTCTAAAATATTTACTTTTGAATATGAATGCATGCAATTGAATTTGTTGATTCAAAAAGTAGAAAAGTAAATAAAGTTAAGAGTATATTTTTCTTCCATGTTTATACCACAGCTTTCTAGTAACACTGCTTGGTGATAACTACTGCCTCTTTTTATTTTTATTTATTTTGCAATATTTTGGAGCTATTTTATTTACTCTTCTAACATATTTACTGGGTGCCTATTTATTATAAGATAGGCAATGTTCTAAGCACTGGTTTATTGCAGTGGAAATAAAAGACAGAAAAAATCTTTAAAAAATTACATTTCAAGAGAAGGAAAGAGGCAATAAACACAATAAATAAGTAAAATACATGATATGTTAAACAGTGACAAGAGGTACAGATTTTAAAAATATTCTTAAGGAGATCAAGGTGTTGAAAGAAAAAGGGGATAAGGGAGTACCTCATTGGGGAAGAAGTTTACGTATGTTAATCAGAGAAGAACTTTGAGAGCTTTATTTTCAGCAAAGACTTGTAGAAAATAGGGAGCAAGACTTAATCAAGCAGAGAATTCCACATTCAAAGGCCTTACTGCAGGAGCTTGTTCAGCATCTTCTAGGAAAGCATCTTTGCAATGTGGGTGGGACAGAGTGATCACAAGGCAAAGACTTCATATATTGAGTAATTAATACCATCAATTCATTGATTAACTAATCATTGTTATAATATTCTGCATATTGTATATGTTTTTTTCTCATCAAATATTTTATGAGTCTCTAGGATAGGAATAGGGCTTCTCTCTAGTACGTACAACTCTATTAATCACACATAGCCTTTAAAATAATTGCATACTAAGGTCTTATTTCTCTTACAGAATATATTATGTAATACTTACAGAAATACCTCAGCTGCTTTCTTCTCCAATGTTCTTTTCAATGGCTAAGTTCATTTTGAAATGTAAGAATCAGCCCCTTAGTTGGGGACACAAAACTGATTGTTTTGTACTGAATATAGTTCCATGAAGAATTGTTAAAATGTTAATTTACTTAATTATAATTACGTTATTGCTTGCTATTATTTTTACAGCAAAAGTAATAGGCTTATGGAAGAGAACATTACTCTAATTTTGTTTATTAATGAGGACATCAAAGTCTAGAGAGAGGTAAAATAATTTGCCCAAACTCACACGGGTGTTTATAGTTACAGCTAGCATTATTGCCTACTTACATGATAGCTACAGCTAGCATTATCATGTACTTAATATGTGATAGCCACTGTGCTACATACTTTACAGGAACTATGTAATTTTAATCCTTCCCACAACTCTGTGAGATAACCATTATTACCATTTCTATTTGGCTCATAACAAAACTGAGGGAAATAAGTAACTTCTTCAAAGTCACACAGCTGCTGAGCAATGGATATGGGATTCTACCTAGATCTTTATGCCTCACGCAGAACCCACATGGATAACTGCTTGCCTCAATGCTAGAGAGAGAGGAGGAGAGATACAGGGACAAGAAGGCCCTTTAGAAGGCAGATAGGTATACTAGAAAAAAAAATTTGTTATGGTCACTCATTGATTGAATCTCGCCTTCACCTAATAACTGAGTATTTGTGAAACCGCTTTTGCAAAAATTATAACTGAGGAAATTATGACAGTGAAAGAGATCAGACCTAACCAACTCCATCTTGCTTCTAACCTTTAAGCTGCCCTTGTTAATTCCTGGGTGTATGTCAAACTAACCTAGTGAAGGAGTTTAGTTTATGGTTTGACTCTGAAATGAAATTGATAATAGCCCTTTCCCAAAAAGACCCACTTCTTGCCTCGGGACCAGTCTACCTTTGTAGGACAAAGAAATTAACCACAAGATTAGAAATCTAGGGGTCATGCAGCCTCTGGCTGCAGGAGTCTGAATCTCCCCAAATTGCTCCTGGGGATAACATCACTATTATAAAGCCTAAGATCAGTGCATGAGGTCTTTTGCAGACCCTGCACTCCATGAATCAGCTAACATCACCCAGAACAGTAATCTGTCTCAACCAGTTCCGTGATCCCACCCAGGAACAGAAAACAGCAAGAAAATCTTACTTCGACTCCCTATGATTCTATCTCCAACCTGACCAATCGGCACTCCCCACTTCCGGAGACCTTACTACAAAATGATCTTTAAAGACTTTGATATTGGATAGGAGAAACTGATATGAGCAATAATAAAACTCCAGTCTTCCGCACAGATGGTTGTGTGTGAATTACTTTTTCTCGATTTCAATTCCCCTGTCTTGATAAATCAGCTCTGTCTAGGCAGCAGGCAACGTGAACCTGTTGGGTGGTTACATGTGGGGCATGCTACATAACTTTCTGAATCTATTTTCTCTTTTGAAAATTGAAGAATCAAATTACAGCTCCATATTTGCTTAATCAGGACCTTGACTTTTCTATCATGAGTAAAAGTTAGAAGCTATTAAACTTCTTAACTTAATTGGTGAGTAAATTCTTATAGATTAAGAGAAGCTATTCAGTTGAGGTGAAAACCGTTATATGCCTAAGAAGAACGCAGATCATTATATTTAAAAAATAGCACTTGATTTTAAGTGACATTTTAGTATAATATAAAAAAAATCTGAAGTACCCAATGATTTTAAGGTTAAAAGAGTACATTGAAATTAATAAGGTGCTCATTAATTCACCCCAATTATCTGCTTATTTTTCATTCCTTTCTTTTGCATACATGTGAAATTTTAATTGTGTTCAGTGAAGAAAGCCCATATTCTCAGCATGCATCATTATGTATCCACATTGTACGCAACTAAAAAGTAACTGTTTGCTTGCACATGCATATCTATAAGTTCCAATGTAGGTTCATAACAGTCATTTAATATTCACGATAGATGTAATTTGATATTTTTTGAAATTGAAAACAAATTTGTTTTGTAGGGTCTCTGAATAGGCTATTGATCTGTTGTCATACATGATTTTTATTGTGGTTACTCAGAAGCAAAGTCTGTTACTTTGATTGCTGTATTTTGCCAAACATATTCTTCAACTTGTTCTTCTGTATATGAAAATGATATGATTTACCCACTGTGAGTTGGAAGTCTTTTCAAGTTATTTTTACATTGTTAGTAATGAATTTACAATAAGCATCCAACTTCCCACACTGAATCCCTTGGTGATCAATTGAATGCATTTACTGGATCACCAGCTGAGATATTAGGGTGTAATCTGTGCCTAGGGATCCGAGATTTCTTTGTATAAATTTAATTTACCCTTATGGGGATCAAAAGCTAATTAACACCCATTGTTTCCAACTGAGCTAAAAGCTTGAAGCAATTAGTATTTGAGAAATATTTTCTTTCGTTAATATTTTTTTCAGCATGTAATCTTGATTGGTTCCATTTTAGGCACTGATAGGGTATACTTTAAAATTAGAATTGTATGGACTATGTTTTTTGAATTTTTGTTGTTTTTGTTACTATTCCCTGATAAATATTTATACAACAACACCACCACCAACAACAACAAAAATGTAGTGTCTAGGTGCTCATTCCATCCTACTTTCCGAATGAGATGACTAATAACTTTCAAGACATCAAGATTATTCTCTCACAGAAGAAGTGAGAAAACATTTTTAATCATTAACACAAGGGAGTTTGCCACTTTTCAATAGAGGAGACATTGTGTACTAGTTGCTTTAGCCTTACGGCTGTTGATTAGTTACACAGATGTGTTAGAAATAGAGCTCCTAGCAATATTTAACATGACGAGCGAATGAATAAACACTGTTTAAAAAATATGCCTCATCTAAGACATTATGCTATTCTTATCAATTATTATATACAAGTAAAATGCAAGCCTGTGTGATTATACAGTTTCTTTTATATCTAACCATTATTCATGAAGAAAATATTCAGGAACAGAAAGATGATAAATGTTTGTGGAAACAACTGAAGTTTTTGTTTTGCTTTAAAACACTGACATAATTTGAAAGTATGATATATTACCAAGTCTCTTTATTATAATAGTATGTTGACAAATGATATTGTGAATGGATAATTTGTAATACTACAAACCAAAGATTAGAAAGAATTGTGTATAATAAGTTAGAATCTTTGTTTTATAAATATCCCTTGCTGGTAGCACATCAAGTGCTTAACTCTTTCAGTCAATTAATGCAACTTTGAGGACTTCAGAGTGAGCATGAAAAGTATAGTAAATGAGACTACAGTGACTCTAAGGGAAATACCCCTACAAATACCTTCATACATACAAATAACTTTCACACTAATAAAAATGGTTTTGAGGAAGAGATTAACGTCCTCTTTTTTTTTTGAGAGGGAGTCTCACTCTGTTGTCCAGGCTGGAGTGCAGTGGCGTGATTTCAGCTCACTGCAGCCTCCGCCTCTGCCTGCCAGGTTCCAATGATTCTCCTGCCTCAGCCTCCCACGTAGCTGGGATTACAGGTGCCCACCACCACACCTGCCTAATTTTTGTATTTTTAGTAGAGATGGGGTTTCACCATGTTGGCCAGGCTGGTCTCGAACTCCTGACCTCAGGTGATCCACCAGCCTCAGCCTTCCGAAGTGCTAGCATTACAGACTTGAGCCACCATGCCCAGCCGAGATTAACTTCATATTAGGTTTATAGAAAGTAAAAATGTTCAGCTGCTTTTGTTATTAGTTTCTCTTTATGGTGGAAAATTGTAAAACATGACTTAGAAAAATAGCATGTAAAATTTATCAACAGTTATTTACTCTTTTGGGTTAAGGTTTTTTTTTTTCAAAGTATTTTTTGACATCTAATATTACTGGTAAAAGCAGTATATTAAACCATCCAGCTGTGCTTTATCTTCTTTTAATTCAGAAGTTCTTACCTGGGTTCTGCATACCTCTACAGGGTTTGTGAAATTCTAGAAATCACTTTATGTTTTTCTTTATTGATTATGGCAAAGCTTTGCTACATCTTACTGTATTATTGTATCTTGGGTAATTCATTGTGCTCATCGTTAAGGTTGCAAAGATGAAAAAGAGCAAGAAGCCTAGAGTTCAGCAAGAGATATATACCAGCAAGTCATATCACTGAAATATATACAAAGTTCAATAGGATGACATGAAGGGACTGTCTGTCTGTAATGCAGTGAAGGGCATAAGAAATCTCATGGAGGAGGTGATCCTTCAGCTTAGTTTTGAAGATTGAGTAGTAATTTGGCAAGGTTAGTAAAACTAAAGGGTACACAGGTTTTTTTCTTTATAGTCACATATTTTGTGTATGTGGAAAGCTATGTTGGGGGCTGGAACATTGTGGTAAGCTGAATAATGGGACTCCCATATTATCCAGGCCCTAATCCCTAGCACCTGAGTATTACCTTCTTCAGGAAAAGGGTCTTTGCAGGAGTGATTAAAGATTTTGAGATAAATTATCCTGGATTATCTGAATGGGACCTAAATGTGATCACAAGTGTCTAGATAAAAAGGAAACAAGGAAATGTATCTATATAAAAGGAGAAAGGGATGTGATGATGGAAACAGAGATTAGAGGATATGCTTTGAAGGTGGAGAATCAGCCACAAGTTTAGGAATACAGGCAGTCCCTACAAGCTGAAAAAGATGAGGCAATGTGTTCCACTCTCAAATCTCCAGAAGGAATCAGCCCTCCACCACCTTGATTTTAGTCCAGTCTATCTGATTCTGACCTCCAGAACTGTAAGTTAATAAATTTGTGTTGTTTTATACTAATAATTTGTGGTTATTTGTTATAGCAACAACAAGAAACTAATACAAGCATAAACTCTTACCCTGAAATGCCTCACTTGAATCACATACTCTTGATATTACTCCCATGGGTTATCTTAAATTCACTCAAGAGCATTGCAAATTTGATTGGTTTTATTCAGACGCACACCTCATATATTGTGATCTACATGCATTAAGGTCATTTTTCCCTATTTCTTGTCCAAACTGCAACCTAAGTTGAAGTTTTAATTGTCCATCACCATGCTCCAGGGAAGACCACATGGCCCAAGGGCACTTTCTTTGGAAAATCACTGAACTTATAAAAATAATATAACAGATGATTTCTAAGATCTCAGTGTGTCCTATACTTAGATTTCAATTTCAAAAATATAACTTTAGCATCAACTCATAAAAATAAAATAGTGAATGAGAAATAGGAAGACAGTGAGGAATAAACTAGACAATCGTATACAGGAAAGGTTTATCCTATACAGTGAGAATAGAGATAAAGACATACCTCAAAGATGTTTTGGATTCAGAATCAGTTATCTCTGACTGGATAGTTGGGATTTTGGAGTCAAAGATAACTCTGAAATTTACAGCTTGGTCAACTGCATCATGTGGTAACTGAGCCAGGAAATTTGCATTTCAAAGAGGTGAATCGTTTTCAATATATTTAGTTTTAGATATTCATGGGACAACTGTGTAAGTATTGATATTTAAAAATAAAAATAGGTTTGTTCACTGGGAGGAAGAGGACAGAATTGAATCCTCCAGCAATTTTCCCCCAACAGGAACACCAAATTGAACAACCATTCACACAAGAAATCACCTACATAAGAAGAAGAAATCAGATGAGCAATCACAGTACCTTGTTTTAACATCATATAAAGAAAAGAGGCACTTTAGAGGGTAGGAAAGACAGTCTTGAATCGCCTACATGACCCCTCCTTCATGCTTCAGCAGAACAACATGGCTCAGAGAGAGAATTTCTGTGCTCAGGAGAGGGAGAGCAAAGCAATTGTGAGACTTTGCATTGAAACTTGGTGCTATCCTGTCACAGCAGAAAGCAACGCAGGGCAGAACTCAGTTGGTGCCAATAAAGGGAACATTTAGAACATCCCTACCCAGATGAGAATTTTTTATCCCAGAAGTTAGGAGTCTGCATTCCAGCTAGCCCTACCACCACAGGCTAAAATTCTCTGGGGTCCTAAATCAACTTGAAAGACAGTCTGGGCCACAAGGATTACAATTCCTGGGCAAGTCCTGGTGCTGTGCTGGGCTCAGAATCAGTGGACTTGGGGTGCATGTGACCCAGTGAGATAAACACCATCTGGGGAAGCCCAGGGAGTGCTTACATCACCCATCTCCCAACTCCGGGCAGTGGAGCTCATAGCTCCAGGAGAGGGAAGAGAAAAGAGGACTTTGTCCTGCAACTTGGATACCAGCTCAGCTACAGTAAAATAAAGCACCAAGCATAGTCCTGAAGCCCTCTTTCCAGGCCATAGCTCCTGACATAGACTCACCCTGAGCCTGAAGGAAACACATTGCCCTGACGAGAAGAGCCCAATCCTGGCAGAATTTACCATCTGCTGACTAACGACCCCTTGGGCCTTCAATGAACATCAGTGGTAGCCAGGCAGCAGTTGCCATGGGCCTTGGGCAAGACCCAATATTGTGTTGGCTTCAGGTGTGACCCAACACATTCCCAGCTGTGGTAGTCATGGAGAGAGACTCCTTCTGCTTAAGGAAAGGAGAGGGAAGAGTAAAAAGGACTTCGTCTTGCAACTTGGGTCCCCGCTCTGCCACAGCAAAATAAAGCACCAAGTAGATTCCTAAAGTCCCTGATTTCAGGTCTTATCTCCTGAAGGGCATTGCTAGACCCACCCTGGGCCAGAATGGAACCTGTTGCCCTGAAGGGAGATACCCAGGCCTGGCAGGAGTCACCACTTGCGGACTAATGAGCCCTTGTGCTTTGAATAAACATCAGCGGTCGCCAGCCTGGAGTCTCCACAGGCCTAGGGGTGATGGTGGCCAAAGGCAGAGACTCCTTCTGCTTGAGGAAAGGAGAAGAAAAAGTAAAAATGACTTTGTCTTGCCACCTGGGTACCAGCTCAGTCCCAGTAAAATAAAGCACCAAGCAGACTCCTAAAGACCCTGGTCCCAGGCTCTAGTTACTGGATGGCATTTTTAGACCCCACCCTGGGCCAAAAGGAAACCTGTTGCACTGAAGAGAAAGACTCAGTCCTGGCAGGATTTATCACCTGCTGACTAAAAAGCCCTTGGGTCTTGAATAAACATCAGTATTAACTAGGAAATAGTCATCACAGCTGTTGGGTGAGACCACCTGTTTTGGCTTCAGGGGTGACCCAGCACAGTCCCAGCTGTGCTGGTCATGGGAGTGCTTTCATCATGCCTCCCCCAACTGCAGGCAGCTCAGCACAAAAAGAGAGACTCTATTTGTTTGGGGGAAGAGAACAAGAAACTCTGCCTGGCAACTCAGGGAAATTTCCTAGGTGTTATCCAAGACCACCAAAATGGCACAACTACAACTCTGCAAGAGTCACAGTGTTCCAGGGCTTGTGGTTCCCCATAAAGCACATATAGCTGCAGTGGCCAAATGCTTAGATCACGATGCTCAATTTTCTCTGAATACTTGGAAAGACTTCTCAAGAAGGATGGGTACAAATAGGCTCAGACTGTAAATATTAGAATACATACTTAACTCTTCAATGCCAGACATCGACAAATATCCACTAGCATCAAGACCATCCAGGAAAATATGACTTCACCAAAAAAACTAAATAAGGCATTAATGACCAATTCCAGAGTGACAGAGATATACATGATCTTTCAGATAAAGAATTCAAAATAGCTGTTTTGAGGAAGCTTAATGAAATACAAGGTAACACAAAGAAATAATTCAGATTCCTATCAGATAAATTTAACAAAGAGACTGAAATAATTAAAAAGAATGAAGGAGAAATTCTGGAGCTGAAAAATTTAATTGACAGACTAAAGTATTCTTCAGAGTCTCTCAATAGCAGAATTAATCAGAAGAAGGAATTAGTGAGCTTGAAAACAGGTTGTTTGAAAATATGCAAGGAGTCAAAAGAAAAAGAATAAAAAATAACAAGGCATGCTTACAGAATCTAGAAAATAGCCTCAAAAGAACTAATCTAAAAGCTATTGGCCTTAAAGAGGATGTAGAGACAGAGATCAGGGTAGAAAGTTTATCCAAAGAGATAACTGGTAATTTTCTGAACTTACTGAAAGATATTAATATTCAAATACAAGAAGGATATAGAACACCAAGCAGATTTAACATAAATAAAACTACCTCAGGCCGGGCGCGGTGGCTCACATCTGTAATCCTAGCACTTTGGGAGGCTGAGGTGGGTGGATTACCTGAGGTCAGGAGTTCAAGACCAGCCTGGCCAACACGGTGAAACCCCATCTCTACTAAAAATACAAAAAATTAGCTGGGTGCAGTGGCGTGCGCCTGTAGTCCCAGGAGGCTGAGGCAGGAGAATCACTTAAACCTGGGAGGCAGAGGATTTGGTGAGCCGAGATAGCACCATTGCACTCCAGCCTGGGCAACAAAAGCGAAACTCCATCTCAAAAAATAAAAATAAAACTACCTCAAAACATTTAATAATCAAATCCAGAAGGTCAAGAATAAACGAAGAGCCCCAAATGCAGCTGAAGAAAAAAATAGCATATAAAGGGGCTCCTATACAGTTGAAAGCAGATTTCTCAGTGGGAATCTTACAGCTAGGAGAGAGTGGCATGATATATTTAAAATGACAAAAGAAAAGAAAAAACTTTTATCCTGGAATATTATATCCAACATAAGTATCCTTCAAACATGAATGAGAAATAATGACTTTTGCAGAAAACAAAAGCTGAGAAATTTCAACTCCAGACATTTTATGCAAGAAATGCTAGAGAGCTCTCAGATCTGAAAGAAGAGGATATTAATGAGAAAAGAAAAAAACATCTAAAGGTGTAAAACCCACTGGTAATAGTAAGTACACAGAAAAACACAATACAATGATACTGTAATTGTTGTATGCAAACTACATGTGTCTTGAATAAAAAGACTAAAATATGAACCTATCAAAAACATTAACTATAACAACTTTTTAAGGCATAGTGTAATAAGATAAATAAAAGCAACAAAGTTAAAAATTGTGAAGGGAAGTTACAGTTTAGAGCTTTTCTTAGTTATCTCTTTATTGTTGTTTGTTTTATTTTTATTTTTTAGAGACAGGGTTTAACTATGTTGGCCAGGCTGTAGTGGGAATGTAAACTAGTACAACCACTAGTGAAAACAGTATAGAGATTACTCAAAAAGCTAAAAATAGAACTACAATTAAATCCAGCAATCCCACTAGTGGTTATCCATCCAAAGAAAAACAAATTAATATATTAAAGAATACTGGCACTCATATGTTTATTGCAGCACTATTCACAATAGGAAAGATGTGGAATCACATCTTTCACATTAAACCTGTGTTTCAATTATAAGTTCCCAGAAAGAGATGAATCAATAAAGAAAATTTACGTGTACATATTAGAATACTCTTCAGTCATAAGAAAGAATGAAATTATGTCATCTGTGGCAACATAAATGTAACTGAAGATCATTATTTTAAGTGAAATAAACCAGGCACAAAAAGACAAATACCACATTTTCTCACTTATTTGTGAGCGCTAAAAAATCTGATCACATGGAGGCAGAAAGTGGAAAGATGGAGAAAAGAGACTGGGAAGGGTGAGTTAGGGGAAGGAGGGAAGAAGATAAGTAGGTTAAAAGGTACAAACATGCAGTAAGATGGAATAAATTCAATGTTTGATAACAGAGTAGGGTGATGGTAGTTTAACAAAAATATATTGTATTCAGGAGATAGGCACTCTAAATATGCTGATTTGATCACTAGACATTATATATTTTAACAAAATTTGACATGTATCCCATACGTTTGTACAAATAATAAATAAATGCATAGATACACAGAAAGATTAAATGAGTTAATGCATGTCAAACGTTCCACGTAGGTTTGGCACAGAGTATAAGTGCCCAAGAAATGTTAGCTACAATTACTATTAAAAAAATAAAGATGGTCTGGGTGTGGTGGCTCACGTCTGTAATCCCAACACTTTGGGAGGTCGAGGTGGGTGGATCATCTGAGGTCAGGAGTTCAAGATCAGCCTGGCCAACATGGTGAAACGCCGTCTCTACTAAAAATACAAAATTTAGCCGGGGGTGGTGGAGCACGCCTGTGGTCCGGGCTACTCGGGAGGCTGAGGCAGGAGAATCGCTTGAACCCAGTAGGTGGAGGTTGCAGTGAGTCGAGATCGTGCCACTGCACTCCAGCCTGGATGACGCAGTAAGACTCCATCTCAAAAAAATAAATTAATTAATTAAAATAAATAATTAAAGATGGTATGTAATAGAGAGGCTGATGTGCCAATATAGATTTGGGAGGTTAAGTGAAGCCACTACCTCGGTATACTTTGGGAAGAACGTGCAGAAGAAGAAAATAGTCCCAATTCCAGAATAATAAGAAATGAAAAGTGGAAAACTCAGGATATAAAAGAAGATCTAGTAAGAGAGACTGAAAAACAATCTAAAGGAGAAGAGCAAAAACAAAGGTAATGTTAAATTCAAGGGAAGAATTCCAGAGATCTGTCCACTCTTGCATATCAGAAAGGGAGATATAATAAAGGATTGGTGATTGCGAAGCAGTGCTGGAATTCTAGATGAGATAAGAATTCATAAATCTGCAGATTTTTCCCCAGATTCACTGTAAGTTTTATGTTCTTACAATAATATAGAAGTACATTAAACCTGTGTTTCAATTATCATGAGGCTAAAAAAAAAACCTGGCTTAACTCTGATTTAAAAAAATTGCCATTTGGATTCATACTGTTATTTAGATTAGTGAAATCTTCCATCTTCATCTTATAAATTATATGCTATTATGGTTTCTGGTTATAGCATAGGGATTTTTACTCCATGGAAAATAAAATCAGTAGAGCTACATTACAAACAAGTATACCAGTTGATCTTTGAAATGTGAAGTTTCTGATACAATCATGAAGAAAAGGATATTTAAGTAGGAAACTGTAATCTACCTTTGTGTTCCTTTTAACTTTTGTCACAGTGTCACTGTGGTCATGACTCCCAAGTGGCAAGATTATTAATCTCTACTTGATAAAAACATGTTGCCAGAGTCAAATTTGTATGAAACCAAGGGAGATTCTAAAATTCATATTTCTCTACTTCATGTTTCATAGATAAAAAGATTTGTGTTGATCACTAGGCTAGAAAAACAACTGTTTTCTCCTAATTCTGTTTACATGTAAAGTTTACTTTCAAGTGGGCTTGCTTTTGAGCTAAAATAGTCTTTTCTATTATACTAACCATAAGTCACTTTAGCTTGAGCTGTTATAAAATATTAAATCAATTTTAATTATTCTCCCCTAAGGGTATAAGACTAAGATATTTCTTTTCACATTTTAAACACATTCATCATATTAAGCTTGATATATTAATGTATAACGAACTTGGAGCTTGTTTCCAATATTGGATCAATGGGCTGGAAATAGACAAACTTTCCCTTCCTCCCCAGTGATCTGGGCAGCAGCAACCTTGGTCTCAGCTAGAGATATATGGTGATTCTCTTGGAGATTTTACTAATTTTTCCATCAAGGACTTTTTGATGTGCAAACCATTGGTTACATGACTTTTATAAGTGTCTCCTTCCTTAAAATATTCAAGTATATACTTTATTGATTTAGAAAATATTGATGATCCCAAAAGAGTGGGTAGTGAATGAAAAACAATATTCTTGACTTCCAGGAATGTTTAATAGAAATTGTTGGCTTCCTTCCCTGACTTAATTCCTGCTAAGATGCCGCACTGAGATTTGTCTGTCTATGCCTATGATGGGAATGATTGGACACTGGTTTACTGGTTTGCTGTGAAGGCAGATCCCATAGGTTTTCATAGGTTTTTTTTTTTTAAATTTTTACCTATATAAGATCATTTAGAAAATAATATAACACAATGATTAACACCTCATGATTGATGTCAAACAGATCTCTCCAAATCCAGAATTTGCCACTCATTATGATTTTTTTAACCTTCTAAGTCTAACGCATGGCATGTCTGAGGACAAATAAAAAATAAAGGCTATTAGTCCTCTATTTTGGTTCTACTTTCATAGCACATAATATAGCATTCTGATATGCCACGTCATTTAATGCCGACCTTAGAAAGGATTATAGCAGTTAGAAATGAGAAAAATCGAGTAAGAAATGTGCTGACATCTTTCATTTCATATCATCTGCTGATGTCGACAGATAATTGAGCACTCTCTATGTGCCAGGAAAAGCTGTAGGTAGTGATATCAAGCTTAGTATTTCCATAAATGAAGTTAACATTGAAGATGAACACTTGAAATTGAAGTTCCTAGGCTGGGCATGGTGTGCATTCCTGTAATCCTAGTGCTTTGGGAGGCGGAGGCAGGCAGATTGCTTGAGCTCAGGAGTTTGAGACCAGACTGGGTAACATGCCAAAACCCCACCTCTACAAAAAAATAGGAAAAAATTAGTCAGGCAGGGTGGCTTGTGACCGTAGTCCCAGCTACTTGGAGGGGGACTGAGGTGGGAGAATCCCTTGAGCCCAGGAGGTTGAGGCTGCAGTGAGCCGACATTACACTACTAAGCTCCAGCCAGAGTAACAAAGTGAGACCCTGTTCCCCTCCCCACATTTGCCCCGCAACCCCACCCTCCCCCCACAAAAAAATTAAAATCCCTTAATGTACTAGTACATCATGTCCTACCATTGTTATCACTTACAAAGGAAATTGGCAATCTGCCCTTGTGAATAGGGAAGGTGATATTTAACACTTATAATGAGCTACATATTTTCATATACAATATCTCAATTAATTTAGTCATTAAAAATTGGCATATGATTTTTTACTCAGTCTTAGATTCAATAACAGGAAATCATAAAAGTTTATGAATGTATTCAAAATTGGATACATAAATGAATAATATAGAGGGAGTTTCTCCAAGTATAATATTTCAAGTTGCATGCATTAAAAATTAACATAACCAAGCTTAAAATATAAATTGTTTACAATCAATTCTATATGAAGAAAATATTTGCAGTTGGTTCATAACTGTTAGAAAATGCCATCAAAGAATTGGATATTAGAAGTATAAGGTGTTTTGAGGGGAGAGATATAATTCTCAAATCTCTTTTCTTCCCTCTTTTAGATTTCTTTTAAAATAATTAAGACCAAAATATTTCCAGACTACTTGTCAGATTTCCAAATGAAGTCTCAAGTCTCAAAATAACCAACAAAGCTCTGGTACTTGTAAAATACAAGTAAATACAAATCCATCATAAGTCGGTCTAACAAAATTATGTTCCCAATTTTGGTTATCTAAACAATTAATTAATGAATTAATTTTTCTAGGCATATAATAGTGTATTTATTGGTTTATGTTTCAAGAGACAAATGTCTAATTTCAATCCTGCCATTCACTCCAGCTTGGCAACTTTGAAAATTCTTGTCACTGCGGCTCCTGCTTCCCTATTAATAAAATACTAATGACAATGTTCTGCCTTCCTTAGAGAATAAGTTTGTAAAATATAGTAGAAATTATTTTGAATGTTAAAATTATATATAATAATCTTAATATTATTTTAATATATCTTAATAATTTGAATTAAGCCATTTGGATTCATAGCTTTTATTTAGATTGGTGAAATCTTCCATTTGCATCATATATATATATATATATATATATATTCAAATTTGGGGTATTCGTATAGTCTAAATTTGCTGAATTTCAAGTTTTGTGAACGTTTTCTTAAATTGGAAAACTATTGTGGATAATGGAAAGTTTTTACTGAAGTAGTAATGCCATTTTAATATTCAGTGATGGTATTGAAAGACTGAGCATCGTCTATCACAGTTCCTTGTTCAATAAAAGGGTGAGTATCCGTTCTTTATTTTTTACTACTCTTTTAAAAAGTCCTACTCCCAAGTTGAATTTTTTTTGTAAGGCTAAAGAAAAAAATCCTAATGGAAAAGTAAAATCGCAACTTCTTGGCCTGAGACCACGTAACACTGTTTTTCAGATGGGAAAAGAGGAAGAGTGAAAAATGCGATGAACCCTTAATACTATAAGCTCCTCTAACTGAGATGCGGTGGTAATTGCTTTTTATTTTTTTGTAACATCTCCTGGAAATGGTAATGCTTTCAAGTGAGGACCAAAGAGAATGACCTACATAAGAAATAGATTGCAACATGTAGTTACATTTTTCATCCTTTGTAATATGCTTTTTGCATCCATACTTCTAATGTGAAATACAGCATAATGCTCATCATTTTTCAAAATGAGTTGCCACTAAGGTCAGATGGGATACTTGGAAACTATAAAAAAGGTGATTTGGACCAAGGTGTTAATGCCAATAGGTGAATCAGTCTTCGCAGACCATCCTTGTGCATTTAAAGAAAATAACACCAAAGATTCAGAAACACACACACATATATTATCTGTTTCCGATGTGGTGTATTTATGCAAGTATATATCATCAGAAATGGGCAATTCATCTCTATTTTATTACCCAAAATATTCATCAAAAAGCAAACGGTGTAATAGTAAGACAGGTAATAAAATGATACAGCTTTTAAGGCTCATAAACACATTTAATTCAGTTTTTTCCCAGCCATAAATTTGGCCAATCAAGAGGTGTCCTTCAACATATGTTAACCACGTATTTTACCAAGAATTTTTCACAAGAAAAGATATCTTTTGCCAACCAATCACAGGGCTAAAGTCATGCCATTATTGTTCTAGTCCGAAATAATGTGCAAATTATTATCTAACAATGCATCAGATATTTTCAATGATGAAAGTTACCCAAAGAGGCAAGAGTTAAAAGTTGTGTGGAAAGTTTCAGTGTCTAGAAATTGGCAGAGAAAGAATCCAGTGGTACCAGGAAAAAGGCAAATGACTTAATTCACAAACTTTCTCAAGGGCTGTCCTTTTCCAGTTCTCCTTCCACCAACAAATGTAAAACATCCTATCCTGACACTATGCTGTTTCTTGAGAAAAGATGGAAATCATTCTCTGATATCATTTATAATTATCCTTGACAGCAGAAGAGGGTGAAAAAAGAATTTATTAGTGACCCAGATAGAGTGAGTACATTGAAAATAGTCACATTTGTTTTGATGGAAAATGATTCTTATCTTACAAAGATATCTGAAGAGGTGTTCTATGGCTATAGCATCACCATTCCTTTAAAAAATAAAATTACTTTCTGCATGAAGTCTAGAGGTAGCCTTTGAGGGTCATTTCAGGGAGGCCTGAATGAACTGATGGATGTCCGCCAGTATGCACTTAACAATTTGGGGACAAACATAAAGGGCTGTAAGGATACACAACAAAATAGAAATGGATTAGCCAATATGTCTCCAATAAAAGAAAGTGCTTCTGTAAAGCGATAGCTGCATTTTATTGTATATTACAGATTTATTTGCTCCATACAGAGTTTGCTATATATTTTCTGAATATCTGTTTATTGGATCTTATTTGTCCCATAATCATGGTAACATTTGATATGTATTTCTGTTAAAAGAAACATTGTTTCTAAGATATCAAGCTCTAAATGACAAATCACTTAATTTAATGAAACGCCTTTTTGATAAGAGAACATTTAAATAAAACATTTTGTATATAAAATGTTGAAACAAAACTACTTTAAGTTGCAACTAATCTTAAATGTTTTGACCATCTTATAGAACAAATATCCTGAATTGAAGTCTTTCAGGGTTTATTAAAACATCTTTCGAATATTCTACTATTCCAAAGTCTGTTTAGGCTTGCACCTTCATGAAAGAGATACTTTTGGAAATGAACAAATGAAACCAGACTAAATGCAGGAGGTGATAAAAGCACACAAATTGTCCAAACTAAAAATGCTTAAGCAAATGTGACAATAGGCTTCACAATCATAAAAATTATCTACTAAGGAATTTGAAAATTTTGCATGCAGATAATACACAGTGCAAAAGTTCCTTGATTTATTTATCCAATTTAAAAACATGGTATTATCAAAAAATGAAATAAAATACAGGGATGTTCAATAAACATGGATTAACTAAATTAACTTTTAAATATTTTAAGATTTGTGAATTCTATATTATAAAAACTCTATGAAGATTTCCACATATAATGTATTGTATATATTCATGCTTACTTTAGTTATAACACTATAAGAAGTTTTACTTGATAAAACCAGTTCAAAGATAAATATTAAAAAGTGATATAATTTCTAGGTATACCTTTTGTATTCATAGGACACTTGTTTATTATTTTGGAGGTTTTTAATATGAAGGATTTTTAGTTGGTACCTAAAACTAATTGAAAGTTTTAAGTTATAATAAATGTACAGAGTTTGTTTCAATTTCTGATGCTTCATGCTTTCATTTTAGCAGACAGTAGAAATGTTTTTTCATGTGCCATGTTTGCCAAGAAAAAGCACAATATTCTTCATGCAGATCTTAAAATATTGGCTTAGAAACTAAAAATCTAATTTCTGTGGGAAAAAAAAAAGTGGAACAAGAAATATTCATCCAGTTAGATAACTATTTGGAAAGCACTGCAGAGATGAATAAATTACCCCTGAGAATTAGGTTCAAGATTTTGGGAAAGATCTTGTGTTTGGTGATTCACATTTATTCCCTTCTTTTAAGAGATAGCTCTGAAAGGAAGAAATCTCAGTATCCTTCTCTTGAAGTAATAAATATTTTCACATGCACAGAAATGAAGGTAGTGTTTTCTTGCAAGAGCCTATTTGATTTCTGGATTGTGTATCTAGATTCTATACCAGAATACCAGAGCTAGCTAGACTGAATTTTATATATTGTGAAATTAGCATCCTCGGTTTACAGAAAGAAAACTGAGTCTCAGAGAGATATATTGCATCCTTGATGACTCCAATTTGTACAGGTTACAACCCCCAAACAAACATTGCACTGTAGAGAACTGATAGTCAGATTTACCATTTAAAAATGTTTTGTACAGGAAGTCTAGTGCTTTTTTTGAAGCTCTTACAGTGCTTCCTTACACTGATCTCTTACAGTGATCCTAAGTGTTTAACATGGTTTTAGTTTTACATCTCAACTCTCCTCCCTGATCTATCCATCTAGACAATGGTCAGAATTAAAATGTTTGTGGATGATGAATGATATCAAATATTTAATAAGCTATTCTAAATCATCGGACTGTAATTACATAAAAGGTTGTTATAATGAAAGCAAGTGGCTTATGTGGCCAATAGAACCCTGGTATAAAATATTATAGTCTCATAATTCAAAATATGCTTTTGATTGTTATTTGATGTAACATAAGAGTTCAAGAATAAAAATCGACTTGTCTATTATTTATTCCGCAGTTTTAGGCTCATAAAATTCTGTAAAAGAGATTTGCCTTCTACAAAGCCAGCACGACTCTGTGTGGTACTAGTCACTTGGAAAATTTAAGCTCACATTTTTAATACATATATCAGCAGTCTCTTTAGCAGTGAGATTTCATAGTTTCTTTTCAAAAATTATGTGTACATATGTATATATTTATATTTATTTTAGGCAGGCAGATGTACATTTTATTCTGTGACCAGAGCTGGAATCTGAGCAAAGCTGTTCTTTTCCATGATGTCTAGAGACAAAGGTTAAGATTTTTACTTCTAAGTAGCAAATAGTTTATCGAGTATGCGTTAAGTTTATTTCTCTCTTTATTTACTTGTGAGTTAGGCTGGTTATTTATTTGCTTAAGAAATCCTTAGATTTGTATGGAAGAACACAGTCATAACATTTTTAGCATTCTCCTTATTCAACACTTTATGTCCAAAATCTGAAAATCTACAGTTGTCACCAATCAGGCCAAGCTATCGTTGGTTAGTGGAAACTTGCTGACTGACACTGCAGAATAGTTGAAGGAAAGCCCTGAGTAGCAGCCCCTCAATTAGTCAAGGGTCAGGTGGTGAACAGTTCAGCATCAATGCTGATAGAAATGGTGCATAAATGCTAACATTGTTACAAAGAACATGACTTGGTAGTATCATTGTAAAATTGCATTTATATTCAGTAGCACATTGTATATGCATGTATAAACTATTTTCATTATTTTTGGAGGAATTATATTTGAGAACAGTATATTGAGACTTGAAAAACATCTAATTTATTTTCCTTATTTTTTTGTTACATGTGTCCCAGTATAAAAATTACTAATCATTAAATGTTAATATTAATTTAATATAATTGGTAATTTATGTGCATGCTTTTAACTTTTGTGTCGTGGTAATCAAAGCAAAAAGCACTTTCTTTTTCTTTTGTCTTTGTATGTGGAAGGAGAAAAAAAAGCACTGTAATCTGTATTATGTAGATAGGAGAGAAAGTCACTAACATATTACGTTTCTGATTCGTCACCATACAGAATGTTCGGGCCCATTGAAAATAAAAGAAACTCTTAGTGTCTGCTTCTTTTAATCTTTAATATAAAGTACTATAATATAAAATAACAATAAAGCACTAAATGCCATATTCATTCATTTTCCATGAAAAATTAGATATTATAGACAAGCATTCATATTCTAATTTTTTCTTAAGTAACAATGACAATCTCTAATATATGCGTTTTAAATATTTCAGTTTCTTTTTCTTTCTTTTCTTTTTTTTTTCTTTAGAGATGGAGTCTCGCTCTGTTGCCCAGGCTGGAGTGCAGTGGCGTGATCTCTGCTCACTGCAACCTCTGCCTCCCAGGTTCAAGCAATTCTCCTGCCTCAGCCTCCTGAGTGGCTGGGATTACAGGCATGAGCCACCGCACTCGGACTAGTTTTTTTTTTTTTTTCTTTCTATTGTTTAAAGTAAGAGAACAAAGTAATAGAGTCAATAACTATTCTTTCTTTTACTGGTTGGCTTTGCCCAACTTTTTGGATCATTAGTTTTCATAATGCAATGTCAGTTTATCTTTTGTTTCTTATATATATATATATTTATATATATATTTATATATATATTTTTATATATATATTTATATATATATTTATATATATTTATATATATATTTATATATATTTATATATATATTTATATATATTTATATATATTTATATATATATTTATATATATTTATATATATTTATATATATATTTATATATATATTTATATATATTTATATATATTTATATATATTTATATATATATTTATATATATATTTATATATATATATTTATATATATTTTATATATATTTATATATTTATATATATATTTATATATATTTATATATATTTATATATATATTTATATATATTTATATATATATTTATATATATATTTATATATATTTATATATATTTATATATATTTTTATATATATTTATATATTTATATATATTTATATATAAATATATATAAATATATATATATATATATATTTTTTTTTTTTTTTGAGAAGGAGTCTCACTCTTTTGCCCAGGCTGGTGTGCAGTGGCGTGATCTTGGCTCACTGCAAGCTTGGCCTCCTGGGTTCACGCCATTCTCCTACCACAGCCTCCTGAGTAGCTGGGACTACAGGCACCGCCACCACGCTCAGCTAACTTTTTGTATTTTTAGTAGAGACAGGGTTTCACTGTGTTAGCCAGGATGGTCTCGATCTGCTGACCTCGTGATCCGCCCGCCTCGGCCTCCCAAAGTGCTGGGATTATAGGTGTGAGCCACCGCGCCCGACCTTATCTTTTGTTATTTTTAAAAATAGAACTCTATTTAATCAAATCATGTTTCTTTAATTTTATTTTGAAATATTTTCTTTATAAACTAGTCACAGGAAAGTGTGTGTGTGTATATAAATAATTTTTATACTTATTTAAAGTACATTAGAATACAGATAGTTTTGTGTATATGTATATATACACACACACACACACACCCCTCCATTGTTAATAGAAATGGAAATAACAATGAAAATCATCTTGATTATTCTAATTTTATATATAAAGTAAGTCTCAGAGAGATTTTGAAGCACTGTTAGGTATACAACTAGAATCCCAGTTTCCAAATGTCTGCTTTCCTAGCAAAGGATTGTGAAGTTTCTAAAGTCATGTAATTAAAATAGCTGTCAGTTAACCAAAATAAATAGAATTTTGCAAGAATTTAAAGTATATTCCTGAGTATTAGAAAATGGTCAGCCTGTGTGACTCTCCATTGAATAATTCTGATAAGTTGTTTTAGGTTGGGTAGCAAAGAATAAATAATATTTGATTCTTTTAGAAAAGGTTTATTATTAAGCCTCTAATACTGCAGCACCTTGTAAAATGCATCCCGAACTGCTAAGCCCACCATCTATTCATCTAAGATCCTGTGGGCACTTAACTTAAAATTGTAGAGATTATGCCTAATAACCTACTTGTATGCTCAGCTTACGTGCTATAGATTATAGGGGTTCTGTGGGTAGTTCTCTAGAAGTGTTATCTATGGCTGCCTTTTATCTGAATGTATTATTGAGAGGTGACAGCGTGCTGGCAGTCCTCAGAGTCCTCGCTTGCTCTGGGCACCTCCCCTGCCTGGGCTCCCACTTTGGCGGCATTTGAGGAGCCCTTCAGTCCCCCACTGCACTGTGGGAGCCCCTTTCTGGGCAGGCCAGAGCCCACTCCCTCAGCTTGCAGGGAGGTGTGGAGGGAGAGGCGCGAGCGGCAACCGGGGCTGCGTGCGGCGCTTGCGGGCCAGCTGGAGTTCCGGGTGGGCAGGGGCTTGGCGGGCCCCGCACTCGGAGCAGCAGGCCAGCCCTCCTGGCCCCGGGCAATGAGGGACTTAGCACCCGGGCCAGCGGCTGCGGAGGGTGTACTGGGTCCCCCAGCAGTGCCGGCCCACCGGTGCTGCGCTCGATTTCTCACTGAGCCTTAGCTACCTTCCCACGGGGCAGGGCTCGGGACCTGCAGCCCGCCATGCCTGAGCCTCCCACCCCCTCCGTGGGCTCCTGTGCGGCCAAGCCTCCCCGACGAGCACCGCCCCCTGCTCCAGGGCGCCCAGTCCCATCGACCACCCAAGGGCTGAGGAGTGCGAGCACACGGCTCGGGACTGGCAGGCAGCTCCACCTGCAGCCCCGCTGCCGGATCCACTAGGTGAAGCCAGCTGGGCTCCTGAGTCTGGTGGGGACCTGGAGCGTCTTTATATCTAGCTCAGGGATTGTAACTACACCAATCAGCACCCTGTGTTTAGCTCAAGGTTTGTGAGTGCACCAATCGACACTCTGTATCTAGCTGCTCTGGTGGGGCCTTGGAGAACCTTTATGACTAGCTCAGGGATTGTAAATACACCAATTGACACTCTGTATCTAGCTCAAGGTCTGTAAACACGCCAGTCAGCACCCTGTGTTTACCTCAAGGTTTTGTGAGTGCACCAATCCACACTCTGTGTCTAGCTGCTCTGGTGAGGACGTGGAGAACCTTTATGTCTAGCTCAGGGATTGTAAATACACCAATCGGCACTCTGTATCTAGCTCAAGGTTTGTAAACACACCAATCGGCACCCTGTGTTTAGCTCAAGGTTTGTAAACACACCAATCAGCACCCTGTGTTTAGCTCAAGGTTTGTGAATGCACCAATCAACACTCTGTATCTAGCTGCTCTGGTGGGGCCTTGGAGAACCTGTGTGTCGAAACTCTGTATCTAACTAATCTGATGGGGATGTGGAGAACCTTTGTATCTAGCTCAGGGATTGTAAACGCACCAATCAGCGCCCTGACAAAACAGGCCACTCCCGGCTCTACCAATCAGCAGGATGTGGGTGGGGCCAGATAAGAGAATAAGAGCAGGCTGCCCCAGCCAGCATTGGCAACTTGCTTGGGTCGCCTTTCACACTGTGGAAGCTTTGTTCTTTCGCTCTTTGCAATAAATCTTGCTACTGCTCACTCTTTGGGTCCACGCTGCTTTTATGAGCTGTAACAGTCACTGCGAAGATCTGCAGCTTCACTCCTGAGCCCAGTGAGACCACGAGCCCACCAGGAGGAATGAACAACTCCAGACGTGCTGCCTTAAGAGCTGTAACACACCGCGAAGGTCTGCAGCTTCACTCCTGAGCCAGCGAGACCACGAACCCACCAGAAGGAAGAAACTCCGGACACATCTGAACATCAGAAGGAACAAACTCCAGACGTGCCACCTTAAGAGCTGTAACACTCACCGCGAGGGTCCACAGCTTCGTTCTTGAAGTCAGTGAGACCAAGAACCTACCAATTCCGGACATATTATGTCTAGCTGTATTGTGCAGAAGTCCATAAAGTACTAGATAACTACTTTACTTCTAAGATATATATACCCCACGGTGTGTTCACCAACTGGAATTTCTCCAGGTTCTATTTTGACACAAAATGTCCTTTACCACTTGGGTCTGGCCTCTGAATTGTGGCTGTCTTAGCAGTCCAGAAACTATAGTAATTTGGTGAACAAATCATGTGCAAGAGAAGTTTAAGATGGCATTGAATTAAAATAAAATTAATATTAGTATAAAGGTAGTTGAGGGAAGTGGAGCTATAAAAATCCTTTATATTTTTCACTTTAACAACCTATTTTCAAGGATGGAAAGCCAAGATGATAAACTGGTCTTTAAAACCTGGAGAGTTATTACTGGTGTCAGGCTGGAAACAACATTTATTGACTGCCCATGAAAATATCAACCTGGTACCATTCCTGATAAAAGGGTCTAGGGCACAGAATTGGTAGGTCCTAGAGGCAAAGTGTGCTAATCTGCTTTGCTAATTAAATTCTGAGATTTTAACAGATTAAAAATGGCAGGATTTCCTAGTGTATTGCAAAATGACAATACATGCACACACAGAGTATTGGAGAGTAAGGGTAACATATTTTTATAGATACTTAAAGTTCATTGGAATACGGGTAAGCTTGTATATATTTGTACTATATTTAATGTTAACATATAAATTAAATACTATTAAAATAATTCAAAGGGCCAAAAATATACTTTTCCACAAGTCTCTGAGATAAATATTCTGCTAACCTAAAATTGGCTGGAACTTAAATACTTGGGGGCAGATAGAAAAAAATATAGTCAAAGGATTTCAGGATGCAGTTTCATGGAACTTTTACTAAATATGTTTTCTGAAGTTGTTTCCTTTACAAATAGTTCTTGCAATGCTGTACAGCAATGATTGTTGAAAAATTCTTCCTTATTTTGAGTTGAAAGAGTATCCTTTGTCTTTCATTACCCTTGGAATAGCACAAAATGGCTTTTTTGTTCCTTCTACCATTTTGTAATTACCAATTTTCAAGTTTGATATCTACTGGTTCTTCCAGGAAAGGTGAGTAAAAGGGGAAGAAAAGCAATTTGCAGTTATTTAAGAAGTAATGCCTGAAATAATGGACACTTAGTTTGTAATTCTGAGTTTACAACTCAGTGGGAGGTCACTAAACTTTTAAAATGACCATGTTAACTTAGTAAACAGATCTTATTTATTTAAAATTGCCACTCTACTACATATTAACATTGTATCCTTGATCAGGCAATTTAACTGCAGTCTCTCTTTCCTTATCTGTGAAATGAGGTTTACCAACATTCATCATAGATATTTTGTGATGTCAGATGAAATGATGGATGTAAATTTATAGCAGAGAAACTTACAAAATATGTTTCATTTAAGTTAACAATAAGCTATCATTTTGGTTAATTGTACTTTTTTTGTTTTTGAGATAAGTTAGACATCTTTTTTTTTTTTTTTGGGGGGGGTTTAATTTTTTTTTTTTTTTTTTTTTTACTTTTTAATTTTCTTTTTTTTTTTTATTATACTCTAAGTTTTAGGGTACATGTGCACATTGTGCAGGTTAGTTACATATGTATACATGTGCCATGCTGGTGCGCTGCACCCACTAACGTGTCATCTAGCATTAGGTATATCTCCCAATGCTATCCCTCCCCCCTCCCCCAACCCCACCACAGTCCCCAGAGTGTGATATTCCCCTTCCTGTGTCCATGTGATCTCATTGTTCAATTCTCACCTATGAGTGAAAATATGCGGTGTTTGGTTTTTTGTTCTTGCGATAGTTTACTGAGAATGATGGTTTCCAATTTCATCCATGTCCCTACAAAGGACATGAACTCATCATTTTTTATGGCTGCATAGTATTCCATGGTGTATATGTGCCACATTTTCTTAATCCAGTCTATCATTGTTGGACATTTGGGTTGGTCCCAAGTCTTTGCTATTGTGAATAGTGCCGCATTAAACATACGTGTGCATGTGTCTTTATAGCAGCATGATTTATAGTCCTTTGGGTATATACCCAGTAATGGGATGGCTGGGTCAAATGGTATTTCTAGTTCTAGATCCCTGAGGAATCGCCACACTGACTTCCACAATGGTTGAACTAGTTTACAGTTCCACCAACAGTGTAAAAGTGTTCCTATTTCTCCACATCCTCTCCAGCACCTGTTGTTTCCTGACTTTTTAATGATTGCCATTCTAACTGGTGTGAGATGATATCTCATAGTGGTTTTGATTTGCATTTCTCTGATGGCCAGTGATGATGAGCATTTCTTCATGTGTTTTTTGGCTGCATAAATGTCTTCTTTTGAGAAGTGTCTGTTCATGTCCTTCGCCCACTTTTTGATGGGGTTGTTTGTTTTTTTCTTGTAAATTTGTTTGAGTTCATTGTAGATTCTGGATATTAGCCCTTTGTCAGATGAGTAGGTTGCGAAAATTTTCTCCCATGTTGTAAGTTGCCTGTTCACTCTGATGGTAGTTTCTTTTGCTGTGTAGAAGCTCTTTAGTTTAATTAGATCCCATTTGTCAATTTTGGCTTTTGTTGCCATTGCTTTTGGTGTTTTGGACATGAAGTCCTTGCCCACGCCTATGTCCTGAATGGTAATGCCTAGGTTTTCTTCTAGGGTTTTTATGGTTTTAGGTCTAACGTTTAAATCTTTAATCCATCTTGAATTGATTTTTGTATAAGGTGTAAGGAAGGGATCCAGTTTCAGCTTTCTACATGTGGCTAGCCAGTTTTCCCAGCACCATTTATTAAATAGGGAATCCTTTCCCCATTGCTTGTTTTTCTCAGGTTTGTCAAAGATCAGATAGTTGTAGATATGCGGCATTATTTCTGAGGGCTCTGTTCTGTTCCATTGATCTATATCTCTGTTTTGGTACCAGAACCATGCTGTTTTGGTTACTGTAGCCTTGTAGTATAGTTTGAAGTCAGGTAGTGTGATGCCTCCAGCTTTGTTCTTTTGGCTTAGGATTGACTTGGCGATGCCGGCTCTTTTTTGGTTCCATATCAACTTTAAAGTAGTTTTTTCCAATTCTGTGAAGAAAGTCATTGGTAGCTTGATGGGGATGGCATTGAATCTGTAAATTACCTTGGGCAGTATGGCCATTTTCACGATATTGATTCTTCCTACCCATGAGCATTGAATGTTCTTCCATTTGTTTGTGTCCTCTTTTATTTCCTTGAGCAGTGGTTTGTAGTTCTCCTTGAAGAGGTCCTTCACATCCCTTGTAAGTTGGATTCCTAGGTATTTTATTCTCTTTGAAGCAATTGTGAATGGGAGTTCACTCATGATTTGGCTCTCTGTTTGTCTGTTGTTGGTGTATAAGAATGCTTGTGATTTTTGTACATTGATTTTGTATCCTGAGACTTTGCTGAAGTTGCTTATCAGCTTAAGGAGATTTTGGGCTGAGACGATTGGGTTTTCTAGATAAACAATCATGTCGTCTGCAAACAGGGACAATTTGACTTCCTCTTTTCCTAATTGAATACCCTTTATTTCCTTCTCCTGCCTGATTGCCCTGGCCAGAACTTCCAACACTATGTTGAATAGGAGCGGTGAGAGAGGGCATCCCTGTCTTGTGCCAGTTTTCAAAGGGAATGCTTCCAGTTTTTGCCCATTCAGTATGATATTGGCTGTGGGTTTGTCATAGATAGCTCTTATTATTTTGAAATACGTCCCATCAATACCTAATTTATTGAGAGTTTTTAGCATGAAGGGTTGTTGAATTTTGTCAAAGGCTTTTTCTGCATCTATTGAGATAATCATGTGGTTTTTGTCTTTGGCTCTGTTTATATGCTGGATTACATTTATTGATTTGCGTATATTGAACCAGCCTTCCATCCCAGGGATGAAGCCCACTTGATCATGGTGGATAAGCTTTTTGATGTGCTGCTGGATTCGGTTTGCCAGTATTTTATTGAGGATTTTTGCATCAATGTTCATCAAGGATATTGGTCTAAAATTCTCTTTTTTGGTTGTGTCTCTGCCCGGCTTTGGTATCAGAATGATGCTGGCCTCATAAAATGAGTTAGGGAGGATTCCCTCTTTTTCTATTGATTGGAATAGTTTCAGAAGGAATGGTACCAGTTCCTCCTTGTACCTCTGGTAGAATTCGGCTGTGAATCCATCTGGTCCTGGACTCTTTTTGGTTGGTAAACTATTGATTATTGCCACAATTTCAGAGCCTGTTATTGGTCTATTCAGAGATTCAACTTCTTCCTGGTTTAGTCTTGGGAGAGTGTATGTGTCGAGGAATGTATCCATTTCTTCTAGATTTTCTAGTTTATTTGCGTAGAGGTGTTTGTAGTATTCTCTGATGGTAGTTTGTATTTCTGTGGGATCGGTGGTGATATCCCCTTTATCATTTTTTATTGTGTCTATTTGATTCTTCTCTCTTTTTTTCTTTATTAGTCTTGCTAGCGGTCTATCAATTTTGTTGATCCTTTCAAAAAACCAGCTCCTGGATTCATTGATTTTTTGAAGGGTTTTTTATGTCTCTATTTCCTTCAGTTCTGCTCTGATTTTAGTTATTTCTTGCCTTCTGCTAGCTTTTGAATGTGTTTGCTCTTGTAACTTTAAATATAAATGGACTAAATTCTGCAATTAAAAGACACAGACTGGCAAGTTGGATAAAGAGTCAAGACCCATCGGTGTGCTGTATTCAGGAAACCCATCTCACGTGCAGAGACACACATAGGCTCAAAATAAAAGGATGGAGGAAGATCTACCAAGCCAATGGAAAACAAAAAAAGGCAGGGGTTGCAATCCTAGTCTCTGATAAAACAGACTTTAAACCAACAAAGATCAAAAGAGACAAAGAAGGCCATTACATAATGGTAAAGGGATCAATTCAACAAGAGGAGCTAACTATCCTAAATATTTATGCACCCAATACAGGAGCACCCAGATTCATAAAGCAAGTCCTGAGTGACCTACAAAGAGACTTAGACTCCCACACATTAATAATGGGAGACTTTAACACCCACTGTCAACATTAGACAGATCAACGAGACAGAAAGTCAACAAGGATACCCAGGAATTGAACTCAGCTCTGCACCAAGCAGACCTAATAGACATCTACAGAACTCTCCACCCCAAATCAACAGAATATACATTTTTTTCAGCACCACACCACACCTATTCCAAAATTGACCACATAGTTGGAAGTAAAGCTCTCCTCAGCAAATGTAAAAGAACAGAAATTATAACAAACTATCTCTCAGACCACAGTGCAATCAAACTAGAACTCAGGATTAAGAATCTCACTCAAAGCCACTCAACTACATGGAAACTGAACAACCTGCTCCTGAATGACTACTGGGTACATAACGAAATGAAGGCAGAAATAAAGATGTTCTTTGAAACCAACGAGAACAAAGACACGACATACCAGAATCTCTGGGACGCATTCAAAGCAGTGTGTAGAGGGAAATTTATAGCACTAAATGCCTACAAGAGAAAGCAGGAAAGATCCAAAATTGACACCCTAACATCACAATTAAAAGAACTAGAAAAGCAAGTTAGACATCTTCTAAGTCATATTGTACATAAACCACATTGAAATTAATGTTACTGTTTGAAAGGTAACATCTATGTGAAGAGAATTATGTTTAGGTTTATAGGAAAACTGCTTCTCTGCTCATAACACTTTTGACATCAAATATGTGGGTTTTCCACACCAAGCAATTCTCCAGGTCTCTGGAGATATCATACGTGGGTGTCCTACAATCCAATTCGATTCTGACTCTAACTACCCAGCGTTAGCACAGACCCAACAGAGAAAGGGCTCAGTCCCACAAGACTGCCCTTGCTTCAGGCATCAGTTGAAAGTAGCGAGTCCCCAGGTTACCCACACTTCTGTCTGACATGACTACAAATTGTGGCTTTCCACAGCCCCTTCTTCAGGTTCCATAATTTACTGTAACAGCTCACAGAACTCAAGGAAACATTTTGCTTAACATTACCAGTTTATTACGAAAGATTCTATGAAGGATACTGTGAAGCCAGATGGAGAGATACATAAAGCCAGGTCTGGACTGGGTCATGAGTACAGTAGCTTATTCTCTGTAGAGTTGGATGTGCCACCTTCTTAGCACATAGATGCATTAGCCATCATGAAAACTCTGTAAACTACATCATTCAGAGAGTTTATGAAGTTTCCATTACATAGGCATGATTGATTAAACTGAGCCATAGGTGATCAGCTCCTCTCCCCTTCCCAGAGGTCAGAGGTGCAGCTGAAAGTTCCAACCCTCCCATTGTATGGCAACCACCCTTCATCCTGAGGCTATCTAGACATACATCAAGAGTCACTCTATTAGCATAAACTCAGATATAATTGAAAAGGATTTATTATGGACAACAAAAGACACTCCTCACACCTATCACTCAAGAAATTTCAAGGATTTTAAATGTTGTGTGCCAGGACCCAGAGATGAAGACCAACTATATACTTCCTATTAGATCACAATATCACAAGGTTGTTATGTGACAAATGAAGGAAATTCGCATAAAAATGCCTTTGTTAATTCAGAGGACCTTCAGATAGACTAAGTCACTTCTATGAATCAATCCAGATTCTAATACACATAATACTGACTTACGATGATTTAACTTACAATTTTTTGACTTTATGACGGTGTGAAAGTGTTAAGTGTTCAGTAGAATGTATACTTTGAGTACTCATATAACCCTTTGTTTTTCACTTTCAGTATATTATTACATAATATATTCAATACTTTATTGTACAATAGGCTTGGTGTTAGATGATTTTGCCCAACTGTAGGCTAATGTGAGTGGTCTAAGCACATTTAAGTCAGGCTAAGGCAAGGTATAATGTTCTGTAGGTTAGGTGTATTTAATGAATTTCTGACTTAAGATATTTTCAACTTACAATGGGCTTATCAGATGCAACCCTATTGTAAGTTAAGGTTCATCTGTACTGGTTGAACAGTGCTTGTCTGGTACCATATCTGGAACTTACGCTTATTTATTAGGTACTGTGTAATGTAATCCACACACACAAAGGTATCGTTGTTTCTTGGTATTCGTAGGGGATTCATTCCAAGACCCTCCGTGGATACCAAAATCCATGGATAAGATGCTCAAGTTTCTTATATAAAATGGTGTAGTATTTACATATAACCTATGAACACCTTCCTGTATACTGTAAATCATCTCTAGGTTACTTATAATACCAAATACACTGTAAATATTATGCAAATAATTTTTAATTTTTTTTTTTTTTTTTTTTTTTTTTAGAGACAGGATCTTACTATGTTACCCAGGCTGGTCTCAAACTCCTGGCCTCAAGTGATCCTCCCCCCTCAGCTTTCCAAAGTGCTGGGATTACAGGCATGAGCCACCTGCCTGGCTTTGCAAATAATTTTTATACTGTATTATATAGGAAATAATGACAAGGAAAGAGTTGTGCATGTTCAGTACAGACACACCCGTACATTTCTTTTTCTGAATATTTTCCATGTGAGGTTAGTTTTATCCACCAATGCAGAACTCGTGGATAAGGAGGGCTGATGGTATATACATATACAAATACATATACATGTACATATACATATACACACATTCCTTAATCTTCCTAAGAAGATGTTATAAGGTAAGGACTCACTCTACTAAAGCACAGAGGATTTCAGTAACTTCTTCAAAGTTATTACACAGTTATTTTATGTGAAGTGAGATCTCACCTAACTTTAAAACCCATGTATTCCAGCTGCTATGGCTGTATTACAAAGCACCTTAGAACTTTAGTGGCTTAAAACAATGCTCAAATTTATTTTGCTCACAAGTCTGCAGCTGGGGCGTGATCAAGTAAAATGTTGCTGCTTTCCATTTTTCTGCCTTCAGGTGACATTCACTCCCAATGGTTGACTGAGTCAGGGTATAAGGCTATCCTGGTCTCAAGAGGAGTAACTCTGCAGTGTGGTTTATGCTCCAGAACCCTCCCTCTGTGCAGGCCAAGCCTGGGGTATAGCTCAGGACACATCTTTGTTTGTTTCCTCCCTCTTTCCTATTAGACTTCATTTCCTGATAGATTTGTTCAAGAGTTCTCCTTCAGTTAATCACATGCTCCGATTCGCTGTCTTGGGCTCTCTGTCTAGGAAATCCAATCCAAGACATGGGTTTAAATTGCATGTAAAAGATCAAGAAAATGAAATTATTAAAATAGATAAAGCAATAAACAACTTTTCTCACTGGTAGCTTTTTCCAGGTATTGTATTAGTTCTTCCCTAATGTTAATTAACTTGGCTCTAGAGATACATTTTTTTTTTTTGGATTTTCCAAGGTTTTATTAGAACATGTTCTTCACAATGCTTGCATTGCTTTTGTTGTGATCTGTGTACAAAAATCCAGGTGCTTGATTATCTCTTGCACAATTTGTCCATGTAAATTAATTTTTCTTCTAGCCTCTTTTTTCACACGTGAAGCACAGGACACACTTTTTAAGAAAAAAAACGTCCTTGCCTCTCTCAGCATCAACAACAATTGGTATCAGAGACCCACCCCAAGCATGTATTTAGACAGCTTTCTGTGGACTCTGCACCTTTATATGTGAAGTAGAGGCTGAATTTACATTATTTCACAATGTCAAATAATACTGGATGATTCAAATAGAGTTTGAAAATAAATTGAAAAATTTAGAAAATTAAGTTTACGAAACATGTAATGTGTATTTGTAGAATCCAGAAGATATTTCCCAGAATGAAGAGGCAAGAGAAAGAACAAAGCGGAGACTCAATATAGATGTATGTAATAGCATATAATTTCATTTGTCTTTTACTCTGAGGAAATATTTAAGTAGATAAAGGTTTCCTAACTCCTTGCATGTTCTCTGTCATTCTAATGTTTATATTCACCAGGGCCAGGAAGCCAGTCACTTCTCCCACCCACAGAGCATCTCACAATTCACAGCAAGACACTCTGAGAAGGCACCAGCACACAGAACCCCCTATTAAAAATCCAGCATCACTGATTCAAAGTGCCTATTCTTTTCTAAGAGCCGGAAAAAATTATTTTGTGTAAAATGTATTTTAAACTTCACTTTTCTTAAGAGAGTCAAGGCAAAGGAAGAAACTAATGATAAATAACATCCGTAAAGACTGAATGACAGTATTTTAAAGCTTTAGTTTAGACTTATATTCTGAAACAGTAATTTTTTAACTCACAAAATGAATTTCATCAGTGACAGTATTTCACATCTCCCAGTTACATTTGTACTTTGAAAGAATATTTTTTTAACCTATAAAGTGGCCGAACTTCGGAACTTTATTGAGCCAAAAATCTTTTTATGAGTAAGTCCTACTTAAAAAAGAACAGAAAGAGTTATGGGAAAATATGGGGATAAAGTCACAGATGTACAAACCTTTTTTGCTATTTTAAAAGAACCAAAATAAATAAAAATAATTCAAAGAGGAAAAAATAGCAAAAATTAAGCCTAATGTTAAAAGCGTAGTTTGGAAGAAGAAATTTTGGCAATTAATGAAAAGTCCATTTATCCACCCATCCAAAAATAATCTGGTGAGTGGACAAGATTCCAGTAACTAGAAACGGGAGGACTGGGAGTGGGTATAGGCAAGCCAGAATAAAAAGGTCTAGCATGCTTTCTAGGCCAGTCAGGTGGCGTGTGGTGGGATTTGTTCCATAGGGGATATTCAGCAAATCTGGAGATGTATTTGATAGTCATACTGGGGACAGGGAGGGCACTAGTTATGTGTAGTAGAGATCAAGGATGCTATTAAATCCTACAATACACAGGAAGGTTCCCCTCCTCCAGCAACAAAGAGTCATCTGATCCACAATGTCAATAGTGTGAAGGTTGAGAAAACCTGTTTTAGGCTAAACTCTTTGTCCCACCAAAAAAGAAAAAAAACATATTATGAAGAAACATTACTGTATTCAGAAAAATAAAGATCATACAAATGCTTGCTTTCTTTTCTGAATTCAGCCATTTACCAAATTAGATTTGAACTCTGGGTTCAGAATCAGAACCATGTGATTCAAATATGAGATCATCACAAGTGGACCAAATTATTTCAGAAATAGACATCGATCGTATTATACATTTGACCCATTTCTATTCCTGTTATCATGACATTGCTGTGCTTCATTGGGTCACTGCTTGCTCCATTGCTTCTGTGGTAGGGAAAATTTTTCTAGGTCAGCCAATTGTATACCTTTAGTAGCCTCAGAGGGGACCCCTTCAAAGATGATGGTGTAATTATACCAATACATTTCCTCCCAGGTCAAATTTATCTCTGAGTTTTTCCCTGTTGTTTCTATCTCCTTTATGGTGGAGTGTGTACGTTTTTAAGAATTTCCCAGAATAACATTGGGTGGAAATTTCCCTAATTTATTTCCTAATTTCTTATTAGTGGTGGTCTTAGTAGAACTGGGTGGGGAAACTTATTCAGAGAACATCTAGACTTCTCCATATGATTAAGTATATTTGTATATATTAAACAAATTAAATATATTTTTGTAAGAATTCCCTTGGCTGTAATATCCAAGAGCTCTGGTTGATTCTGTGGGAAGCCAGTGTTGCAATTGTAGAGAATTTTTTCCTTGAGAGTTATGTAAAACTTGCAGTTGGTATTTTCAGGTTAGAGAACAGTTCCCAAGATGGTTGTAGTCCCTGATTTTTGAGACATGCTTTGGCCCAGGTAATATTATGTTGTATACATCATGTTCCTTATATATATCTATTGATAAGTGATCAGGAATGAGGCCCATGGTCAGGTACGCTTGGTCTGTTAGTGCAATTTCTTTCCACCTCAATAAATGAGTCTTGCACTGGAGTGGGGGAGATCAATATAACTAATAGGAAAACGGCCAATATTTGTAAAGGCTTACATTGTTGGCAGACTTCACATTTATAATCATCCCAGGGATTGGAATGAGGTATAGTTTTGTCTATCTCTGTAATCCCAGAGGGTATGTTGGTATTGCCTCTGGATTTTTAGTTTAATTGCACCAATCATGAGCTTCATGGTTGTAACATTGGGTACACATTATTGCTGGGCACTCTTCAAATGAGACTCAGTAGGTAGTGGCTCTTTTTGTTTGAAGGCACTAGTTAATTAGAGTGAGTTTTGTGTGATTTGGAGTAAAAGTTGGCCCAAAGATAGTTTAGAAGACATTTAGGAGTCTCATGCTGAATTTTCTACAGTTTATAGCCTGCTACTTACTGTCTCAAATGTTATTTAATTTTGGTTCACCTTGATGTTAATTTTAATGGGCTCTTTGTTTGACTTAATTTGTTGTATGTCTGTCACATTCTCCATTATGGAACTTAGAAAACATTTTTCATTAGCTTCTTTAAAAAGTGTTTTTAGGTAAGAGTAGTTTATTCCAAATATTTGGTTCATTTCTTCTCTGATCTTCTGTAGCAATCTTGTCCCCTTCCCATGGACCCTATGCTAAGTACTGTTTATTTTTCCATTTCTATTTCCTATGTGCTTTTAGAACAGTAATCTCATTGGATTCTCTGAAACACTTAGAGTAGCAAGTCCTTAACCACATTCATTAAAGTTAACGGATAACAGGATTAATCATGTGCTTAAAAGTAAAAGAAAAAAAACCAACAAGATTACATGAAATAATTACATGATTATATAATAAACCTTTTGTGTAAAATAATAGAAATAAAATTAATAATTATTTTGCTCAGTCTATGTAGTTATTTGAGAAGAACAAGTACACGTAAATAATATTTAACAAGCAAGGATATATTAAAATTTGTGACAAAATGCTAAGAAAACAGGAAATTAAACTAGCAAATTTCAAAAACTGGAATAAGGCAGGCTTCTTTTGTGGGGAAAAAAATAAAATAACTTAGAGGGCAAAATAGTAAAGAGAAAGCCAGAACAGTGGGACTCAAGCTGCAACATCCTGTAGAAAACCTTGCCTTATTAAGCTAATTGGTTTCTGTTTGCCTCTTCACTTGTCCCCAGGTGCTTTCTTGCTCTGCTCCACAGGTGGTCCCAGTTGTTCCTGGCGGGTGTGAGTGCTCTACTCAGTGTGTAGTGAGTACTCAGTAAAAGCTAACTTCCTAACTGCCTGGAGCTGAATTGACTTCCACAACAATGCCATAGAATTGCTAAAAAGGGAATACAGCCAGGTGGCTCACCTCCTCTTCCCTCTATTATCTGAGATCTTTTATTGGTTTATACAGTGTGAGTGTGGCCAATTGAAATTATCAAAAGCAAAGGAGGAATGCGCCAGTTCTTATTAAGAAAATTAAAAACAAAGCATCTTTCTCATTCTGCCTTTACATCTATTTATATTATGTTATACACTATCTCCACTGCAAACATAAATTTTCAAATAATAATAATATAAAGGTTGGATGACTGTCTATTTTACTATCAATTGTAAGTATATTTTTTTTTAATTTGGCATTCTGTTAAATTTCATGATTTAAAAAAAATGTTGTTTGGAGAATTCATTGGTATGCTCAAAAGATAATCTCCACAGAATTCATCTTGTGAATAGAATTATTTTCAAAGAAGACTACTTCCTGATGCTACACTATAAAAAGATTTGGGTATTACACAATGTATATTGGCTCTTGTACATGGACTTCAGGGTATAGAATTGATATTATGCAAAAATTTGATTTTTGAGAATGAGCGCTTACAAATAAATAGATTTATATTTCACTTTTTCTAGATATCTAATACTACGTATAAATTATCTTTTTAGGATCCTGAAAAACAACTTTAATCGGGGTTATACTGTGTTAAGGTAAGTGCCCATGAGTTTACTTCATGTAGTTCAAATATAGTATTTTTACTCTCAGTCAAAAAACATTCTTTAATCATGAATATCTTTTATTTTAATCTTTTATTTTTATTGTGGCTATAGATTATAAAATAACTTATGATAGAAATTTTATGCAGTGAATTTTTAGGTCTCCTAGCTACCTTATTTGATGTTCCAAAAATGTATTCTATATTCGAGTACTGCAAACACCATCTAGATAGAAGTCTTCTTAGAATAGAAACAGATTGTTTGACATTTGGTTGTTCTTTATTTCGATAAAAGTGGTGCATGGAGAAAAGTTTAGCTTTAAAAAAAATTGGCAAGTGAGTTTAGAAAAAAGTTGATTTGGCTCAAGGGTTTGGTCAAATTTAAGTATTAGACAAAAAAGCTGGGATTGATAATAGAAATAGCAAGAGGTTATTTTCTTCATTTCACCAGTGTTTATAAAAAGATCAGTTTTCACACCGGTACTTGCTGAACAAAAATTAATAACTTCACACATTCCATTTACTCCAGGAAGGAACCACAGAAGCCCAGTGTTTCTGAAAGTGGGGTTCTACCAGCTCTGTACTATTTAATAATAAGATAGTATATAAATTTGAGTGCAAATTCAACTTTTGGGTATCCCAAAGAAACTAGAGCTAATAGCTAAATAAATAAATGTTTCAATACCTTAGATGATTTTAACAAAATTTATTCAGCTGGTTGAAAAAATTGCTGGGCACATTGTAGCTAAGGTTTCCAAAATGTAATTGGGAATGTCAAAACGAATCATAACAAAATGTACAACTGTGCAGATTTATGCTTTGTACCAGACATTCCTAATGCATGGAATAGTTACAGAGAAAAAGACTTCAGTGTCAGTTATGAAATTGTAAGTGGAGGAAAATTCATTTCTTTATTCCTTTATGATAGCACATTCTAATGGCTTTAGCTATATGAGAGCATTTTTAACATAAAGGCCATGATTTATATGAACCATGCATGAGTCTGGAATGAAAAAAGGTAATTTTCAATATGCTAATGCTATGCTGTACTGCCTAGAACACAGCGATCCAATAGAAATATAATGTAAGCCTTACATTGGAATGTAAAATTTTCTAGCAGCCACATTTAAGAGTAAAGAAAAATCGGTGAAATTAATTACAATGTCATATTTTATTTAATCTGTCATATCCCAAAATATTATTTTTTCAACATATAATGAATATAAATTAATTATTGAGATATTTTACACTTTTTTGTACTTCTAAATCTAGTGTATATATTCCACTTACAGTACATCTCAGTTTGGACTAGCCACATTCAGGTGCTTTATAGCCACATCTTGGATAATATGGGCTTAGAAAAATACCTATATTACCTCTTGAATTGAATTTAGTAGAATAATTATCTTCATAAAATCATGTGTATCTATTAGATTCTTAAAAGACAAAAGTACAACAAACCTAGTTTTGCAGATCTTAATTGGCTTGTATCTGCAATTCCAGAATCGGACAGCAGTCAGGACCAAAAATCATTCAGAATGTTCCACCTCACAAGTGCAGGTTTTATTTATAGCCAGGGACAAGGAAGTGACATACAAAAAGCAGAAGTGAGGTACAGCCAGATTAATCGGTTAAAGCTCAGCATTTGCCTTAATTGAATGTGGTTTGAACAGCCTGCTGGCTGCCATGGACTGAAGCTAGGCTGGAGTGATTGGCTGAGACTCAGCTATTTGTTATAAAGGCAAATTCCGAAGATAAGTTTTCAGCTTTTTTATATACCAGCTTAGGTTGCAGTTTATTTAGGAGGACTTGTACTGAAGCTTCTAAAGCTCAGACTTAGTTCAATTTAACAACAACAATTATTAAAATTAGAAATTTAGTCATATAGCTGGGATATATCTCTGTGATACTTAGGTATTGATTCTTCAGAATCAACATTTTTCAAATGAAAATGCCTTATTTGTTTACAAAAGATGAGAATTGAAATGTATAATTTCTGAGTATCATTTTTATATCAACGAATTAATATTATAAAAAACTTTTCTCTCCAGTGTAAATTAGTTGTCTCAATATATTTTTAATGCATAAAATGGATATATGGTCAAACATTTTTATGGGAGACTATGCCTATGATTGAAATTTTATGAATCTACGTGTGTCTCCTCTGTTTTACCAACACTGAAGCTCTGTAGCATCCATGCTCCAGGAGCACTAAACAGTTAGTTTATTTATTTGCTCCTTTTCTGTCACATTATCTTATCTTACTGAATGACACTCTAATCCCTTAACTTGTCTGTCACCACACACCATGAGATAATGAGCTGACCTCTCTCTGAATATGTAGTCTAAGTCAGATATAACACTGAATATTTGCTAGTGGGAAAAGTGGATAATGGGCATGTTCAAGAGATAGGCAATATACTTGGACAGGGACAAAGTAAATGTGGGTGGTCAAATACTCTCTCCCTCAGGGAAGTGCCCAGCAGGAGGGAGAAATCCTGAGTACTTGTTTAGATCACCTTAATGACCATTAATCAACGGGTTTGGCTAAAAACAAACAAACACACACCCCAATCCTAAATAGTTATCCTTGGTATAAGGAAAGGGAACTTGAGACAGCTGATAGCACATTCTTCATCACATGGTTAAGGTTCACAGGTCAAATTTATTAAGTTAATTTGATTGACAATGA
Source organism: Homo sapiens (assembly GCF_000001405.40). NCBI lineage: Eukaryota > Metazoa > Chordata > Mammalia > Primates > Hominidae > Homo > Homo sapiens. Next base: position 130,029,840 of record NC_000004.12, read on the forward strand.
TTAAGTTCTTAAATTCAAAAGTTTAGAATCACCATAAACCCACGATACTATTATTTCATGTAAACATGCTCATTTTGTCCCAATAGTGCAGATGTCTGCTGTTAACCATTTTAATTGCTGTTATATTTTAAGTGTTTGTACATTATTTGAAAGTGTAAGTATGCTATTATTTTATGGTTTATTAAGCACAAAGCACACACATTCAGTCATAGTTGTAATGCATGGGTCAAGAATCAATACCCTCATTTTGAAAGTGATAATTATTCTTCCCTGTTATCTATTCCAAAGCAGAATGAAATGAAAATTAGTGTCAGCCCTTGAAAAGCAAGCATTATGGCTTGAAAAAGTAACAGTTAATGCTATACCTAAATAAGAAAAATGTATGGTAGTGCCATATTAAAATGTGCATTGAAGGAATGTATTAACTGTCCATTTCAAGTCATAACTAATAAAATTAAAATATAAAACATAAAGGTAATTTTATTATGAAGCAACACTATTTATTTGTCCCACAAATTTACTAGTATCTTTGATATGTGTTTATTAACAAATTGCATATAGTGAAACTACCATATGAGAAAAGAATTAACATCAACTAATAGGTATCACAAATGCATTAATGGTATATACACTCATAAAAATCGAGGCTAACTTATCTATCATAAGAATAAAATATTTGCAGTTTAGCTTCTAAATAGAAAAAATCTCAGAGAAATTGTTTGAAATATATCATAATGTTTTAAACCTGTGTCTGTCTCATGTCCCAATTTCACCAGGGTCCTCAGAGCTGCATGAGTCTTACCTGTAAAGAGGACCCAGAGGCTCACAACATGAAATGACTCTGGGATGTGTAAAAAGCATTGATCTACAAGAGACATTGAAATCATTTAGTATAAAACCTTCACTTTATGGATAAAGAACAGTAGGTAATTTTTGCCAAATTACATGCCTTTACACTCACAAGGTCTACATTCATTTTTTTCTGTTAAAGAATAATTTCACATTTCCTTTGGGAAATTTGTCCCTCTGTTATCAATACGCGTGTTTCTTGGTGGCTAAACTACCCAGCTAAAGAAAAGGAATATAATTAATTGCCTTAAGTCATTTCTCTGGCCACAGTGGTTTAACTAAGCAGAGGCATATTTTGTAACAGTGATAGCCAGGATCAGGTCTGTTGTCTTACTTTCCGTTAAAAGGAAAATTCTCTCTTTTTCTACTGGGCTTCAGGTTATGAATATGTAAGACCTGAAGTTCCTGTGGTCATAATGCAATATGCAGGGGAGAACTAGTTTGAGAAGGAGGACAGTATTGAATTGCTGATGCTGCAGGTATTCATTAGTCCAACCACTGCTCCATGAGGCCGCCCTGCCCCCGGTGTGTTTGGCTCCAGTCCCATATACTGACTTTCTAATAAGGAGAGGAAATCCATTTTGTTTTTGACTTATTAGAGTTTGAATTTGGCTTTTTGTCACTTTCAGTTTCAAGAGTCTTAGTTGATTAAGTATGTTAAAAATTACAAATATTTCCAAGGTCGAGGTCTTAAAATGGCCCCAAACTTAATTGTATGTTGGGGCTCAGTGTAGGAACCAGAATCTTGTTTCCTAGCTTTCAGTTTACTGTTTGTGCCCCTATAAAATGTTGTATTCCTCAATTATCTTGGAAGCTTCTGGACAATGGAATGTTGGCTACATAGGGAGTTTTGCCATGGCACCTGGGTGTCAGGGTTTAATTCAGTTCATCTATTGATCGTACCTTTACTAAAAGGAGAAGATATCCATGGAATCCCAAAATGATATCTAAAAAGTAGATTTTTGAGGATCTTCTGGAATTAAAAGTACCTTTTAATATGAAGGGAACAATAGTAGACTAAGAAATAAAAGACAAATTCAGAAACTTTATGAATGTGTAGTAAGAGAAAAAATTTTAATCTTTATAAACTATTGAGATTTGGAGGTTTTTATTATTACATCATATTTTAGCTTAAACCGACGACTCAGAAAATGAAATGTCCAAAACTGAATCCCTCTATCTTCTCTGAAAAATTTTTACAACGTATCTCGGCTGTATGTCACGTTATTTAATATGGAGTCTGTGTCATGGCTAAAAACCTATCTGTGATGTTTCAGGCAATTACAAAGTCTCTACCAGATAGGACTTAATGCAAGAAAGCTGCCCTCCCCATACCACGTGAGGCACAGAGAGTGCTCTGTTGTCTCTAAAGAGAGTTGCAGTTATGAACTCTAGATTCCTTGGCTGCCCATGCTCTTACACCTTCATTCCTAGGCTAAGTGCCCTCATTTGGAGATCTTTTTGTCTGGGAATTTTTTGGAGCCTACATCAACAGTAAGATGATCCTTAAGTCTGTGCTGATTTACCTGACCCTTGCCTGCAGCCATTCTATGGAAGAAGAATGAAACATTGAAGGACCAACACATTCTCCTATTTAGCTTCTTTCTTTGCTATTGAGTAAAGACTTGATTTTTGCTTTCATTTTGGTTTCTTGTCTTAATTACCCTGACACCAGGCAGCTCAGTTCTCTCCAGCTCAGTTCTGCTCAAAACAGCCATCAAGTTATTATTTTACTTTATTTTTCTTATGCTCACATCCAATCGATCGGAGAATAATATTAGAATACATTCATAAGGTGATTGTGATCATTTTCATCACTTCTGCTGCTGTCACCGTGGACCCTGGCAATATCATCTCTCACCTGGATGGGTGTAACTGTAGCCCTACTGTTCTCCTTATTCCTACTGTTGTCTAACTATGATCTATTCTCAAAATAGCAGCCAGAGTGATCCTGTGAAAATTTCAGCTCATGTTACTTCTTAGATCAAAACTCTGCAGTGACTTCTCAGTTTTCTAAAAGTAAAAGCTAACATCCTTACAATGACTGATGAAGCCTTAAATGGTCAGCAGTGTGTCCCCTGCCATCTCCCTGACCTTGTCTTTTACTTCTGTTCCCCTGCTTCAACATCTGCCCTTCGAGACAACTGCCTTGCTAATTTCCTCACCTCTTTCAGATCTTTATGCAGATGGCACTTCTCAATGAGCCCTAATCCAGTCACTGTATTTAAAATTCCAACATAGCTATCCCAATCCCTTACACCTGGTCCTCCTTATAATGCTCTCTTTCTTTTATATTTTTCAATGTATCATTTTCAATTACTCTCTATATTTTAATTATTGGTTATGTTTATTTTCTCTTTTTGCCACCCAGGATGGAGGTTGCAGTGAGCCAAGATCACTACCCAAGACGGTAAGCTTCATGCAGGTAGAAATTTTGTTTTCTTCCCTATGTTGTGTTTTCTTCACTAATGAAGCTCAATTCCTAGAACAGATATTAGCATAGAATAGGTACTTGATAAATATTTTTAAATAAATGAATTCATTAAAATTTTATCTGCAAACGAAACATTATGAGGCCGCTCTGGATGATGATTTGGAAGCCTGTAGTTATCACTGTGTTCTAGATACTTCCTGTGTTTCCAATATCCCCCAGATGACCACATGCTATGCCAGCATGTGACTCCTTGAATTAAAGAATCATGTCATTCTCAAGGCATTTTCCTATCACCTTCTCTTTCACACGCATTCACTAGATTAAAGGTCAGCAGTTCTTCATTCTTTTCTTGAAGGCCATGCTAGATTGCAGAGCAACTTGCTAAGCCACTAACAACTAAGGCTTATAAGGCATAACATACCACCTGTAATAGGTCGTGTTTAATTTTCACAGCTCCTTCATTGTCTAACTCAAAGGAACCTTTGTGAAGCAATTTTGGTCAGTAGCACAGGGACAGATGGGTCACATTTTGAAGACCTAAGGCTTTTTAGGCACGCCTCCAGTCATAACTTACTAGCAAGTTACACATAAGAAAAGGTATGGATAAGCAAGTAGCATGGATGATTAAAATTTTTCTTTTTTCATATTAGAGGAACATACTTAGTATTTTGGATTACTCTTTAGTGAACCATTTCACATAACCCAGTGGGCAATTTTATTTATTTATTTATTTATTTATTTATTTATTTATTTATTTATTTATTTTTTTGAGATGGAGTTTTGCTCTTTCGCCCAGACTGGAGTGCAATGGTGCGAGCTTGGCTCACTGCAAGCTCCGTCTCCTGGGTTCACGCCATTCTCTTGCCTCAGCCTTCCAAGTAGCTGGGACTACAGGCACCCACCACCACGCCCGGCTAATTTTTTTGTAATTTTTTAGTAGAGATGGGGTTTCACCATGTTAGCCAGGATGGTCTCGATCTCCTGACCTCGTGATCCGCCCGCCTCGGCCTCCCAAAGTGCTGGGATTACAGGCATGAGCCACCGCACTCGGCCACACAATGGGCATCTTAATATTAAATATATGAATGCCAGGGAAATGTATCCATGTATGTGAGACTTAAATATTTTATTCATATCTATGTACATATGCACAAATATATGCACATATATGTTATAAAAAATAAAAGGATATCTATTCTATTTATTTTAATTATCAAGTAATATAAATTTAATGAAAAGTTAGTTTGGCCAAATGGAAAGATGGAGGAAACTGAGATAAAATTAATTCCGTATTTCCCCTTCCAATTAAAAATAATATTTTAGGGCCGGGCGTGGTGGCTTACACCTGTAATCCCAGCACTTTGGGAGGCAAGGCGAGTGGATCATGAGGTACGGAGATAGAGACCATCCTGGCCAACATGGTGAAACCCCGTGTTTACTAAAAAAATACAAAAAATTAGTCGGGCGTGGTGGCACTACACACCTGTACTCCCACCTACTCAGGAGGCTGAGGCAGGGGAATCGCTTGAACCCGGGAGGCGGAGGTTGCAGTGAGCCAAGATCGCGCCACTGCACTCCAGTCTGGGCAACAAGAGCAAGACTCCATCTAAAAATATATATATATATATATATAATGTATATATGTGTATATATATATTTCTTTTAACTTAATAACCATGGTTTAAACTAGTATATTTTAAAATTTGGCAACTTGGAAAGCATTATGGTTGATCTTGAAATTATGAAGATTTGTAGAATGTCTTGAGCAGCAAATTAGATGCATGTAAAATGTCTGGAGTATCTTGTCCACTGTATTGGGATCTATGGTAAATAAAGAGATTACAAATTCAGTCCAATGTTTCCTCCAAAAAGAAAAGAGATTAGTTTACTCAGACTCTTTACTTTATCCCATATCTAAGTATTTATACAGATGTTAAACATTAGGTTTTTCATTATGTTGATTGATTCCAGTCATCTTAAGAATATTTCTCTCCTTAGATGTCAGCACAATGGGTTTTTTGAAAGCTGTTGTTTTGAGTGATGATCATTAAAGAAAGGAATATGACATTTCTAGGAGAATTTTAGCATTTATGTAAAATATAACAGTAGCTTATGGAGGTGGAGAGAAATGTATAATAACTTCAAGCATATGAAATCCTTAGAAGAAGTTCTTGAATATGTGATCATGGGAAAAAAACCTAGATAAAGACAGATCTTTTCAGGGTATTTTATATATTTAAGGAAAAAAAAAGACTTTTTTTTTTAATGCTGCTATAGTCCTCAGGATGCAGTGAAGGTCACTGCAGTAAAAAATGTCTCTGTTGATTTAGATAAATGTGGCCTCATTCCAATATATTCTGGTTTTTCTTTTATCCAATTGAAAACCTACTGGAGGTTTTTACTGTGGCTGTCAGACAGAGCACAAATATTTCATAAACCATACTGGGCTTATTAAGTTGGCAGCAATTTTAGCCTTCAGGGCAGTTTACTTCACGATTTTAAAATGCTTTTCCCCCTCCCTTCTTTATTATGGGACACAAAAGATGTTCCTGTTTTGAAAGCCTAATGTTAGTGATATTTCCTAATTCATACACTGGTTGGTACTAGTACACAAATTTGAGGTTTTAGACCATATTGCAGGAATGAAGGTGGATATGGGAGATGTGATATAGATAAATAGTTTATATTTAAAGGTCCCTCAAACAAATTGTTCCTTTAAAAATTGTTCCTTTAAAAATTTGGCGATTCTGATATTTAATTTATGCATATGTTGTCTGTCAAAATAAGATAAATAAGAAAAAATCAGGTATAAAAATAATGTAACAAAATTACTTTGGAACTTAAAAATCTTTTTTTTAGGGTTATTGTAAGCCTGACGCTGTTAGATAATCTTAAAATCTATTCAATCTTTAATATTTATAAGAACCCTATAATTGGGAGGTGAGTATTGTTACCATTTTACAAACCAGGAAAATTAGGTGACTTCCTTAGAGTTTCAACTCTAGTGAATATAGGAAGTGGGATTTAAACATAGATACAATGGTTATGGAGTCTACACCTTTAACCACTGTATCACTATTAATGTGGATAAAATGTAAATAAAGAAGTAAAATAAAATTAATAATAAATGGCAGAAAGTTGGAGGTAAAGGTCTTAAAGTAAAAAGATGCACTGATCATTAGAAACTAGATTAAAAATAAAATGTATAAAGTATTATAGAAATTGCAAAACAAGTTTGGAATAATAAAAAGTGACAGCTCATAAGCATTAAAATTTTATTTGAATAAGATCACTAAAAGGAAATAAACTCTGTTAAGAGAATAAAACTTGTTAAAAGAAAGAAAGCTTAGTGAAGGATCAACATGAAATATAAGTCTTAACACACTGATCCAATTCAGAAACAACAACAAAAAAATCACCTTATTAGTCAGGATTTCAACTCTCTGCCTGGTTCTTTCATTCACTCTGCATGCATGGATTCCTTAATTATATTTCCAACGATGTTTTTCACGCCATAGGCACTGGGGATTCAGGGATAAACAAAACAGACCACAGCTCCTACCCTCACTGAGCTTACGTTATCTTTGAAGGAGGCAGATAATAAACACATTTATAACTAAAACAAAGTGTTATTAGATGCATGCTGCAGGGAGAAATAAAGCAGCAGAGGAGGGGAGTGCTGGGACATTGCAGATTTAAGTGAGGTGATTAGGGTAGATCTCCCCAAGTAGTTAGTACTTGAAAGATCTGGAGAAGCCATTCGATTATCAGGGAGAAGGCTATTGCAATCAGAAAGAACTAGAGATGCAGTTTTCCTGAGCCTGGAGTGTGCCTAAAGTTCTTCAAAGAAACCAGAGACGGCCAGGTGCAGTGGCTCACGCCTGTAATCCTAGCACTTTGGCAGGCCGAGGCAGGCGGAACACGAGGTCAGGAGTTCGAGACCAGCCTGGCCAACACAGTGAAACCCTGTCTCTATTAAAAATACAAAAAGTAGCTGGGCGTGGTGGCGGGCGCCTGTAATCCAGCTACTCAGGAGGCTGAGGCAGGAAAACTACTTGAACCCGGGAGGCGGAAGTTGCAGTGAGCTGAGATGGCGCCACTGCTCTCCAGGCCGGGTGACAGAACTAGCAGAACTAGACTCCGTCTCAAAAAAATAAATAAATAAAAAATAAAAGAAAGCAGAGACACAGATGAAGCTGGAGGACAATATGGGAAGTAAAGTAAGTTAGGCACAAAGAGACAATGTGGAATCTAAAAGTCCAATACATTGAAGCAGAAAAGAATGGTGGTTACCAGAGGCTGAGGAGGTGAGAGCAGTTGAATGGGTAAAGGGAGAGACTTGGTCAATGGGTACAAAGTTACAATTACAAAGGTGTAATAAATCTGGTGTTCCATTGCACAGCAAAGTGACATAGTTAATAAGAATGTATTACATATTTTAAGATAGCTAAAAGAATTTTCAATGTTCTCACCCCAGAGAAATGGTATATATTTGAGGTGATGGATATGCAAATTAGCCTAATTTGATCATTGCACGATGTATACGTGAGTCAAAACATCATGTGTCCGGAATTGGTGGGTTCTTGGTCTCACTGACTCCAAGAATGAAGCCGCGGACTCTCGCGGTGAGTGTTACAGCTCTTAAGGTGGCACGTCTGGAGTTTGTTCCTTCTGAGGTTCGGATGTGTTCGGAGTTTCTTCCTTCTGGTGGGTTCGTGGTCTCGCTGGCTCAGGAGTGAAGCTGCGGACCTTCGCGGTGAGTGTTACAGCTCTTAAGGCGGCGCCTCGGGAGTTGTTCGTTCTTTCCAGTGGGCTTGTGGTCTCGCTGGCTTCAGGAGTGAAGCTGCAGACCTTCGCAATGAGTGTTACAGCTCATAAAAGCAGCGTGTACCCAAAGAATGAGGAGTAGCAAGATTTATTGCAAAGAGCGAAAGAACAAAGATCCCACACTGTGGAAGAGGACCCCAGCGGGTTGCCACTGCTGGCTCCGGCAGCCTGCTTTTATTCTCTATCTTGCCCCACCCACATCCTGCTGATTGGTAGAGCCCAGTGGTGTGTTTTGACAGGGCACTGATTGGTGCATTTACAATCCCTGAGCTAGACACAAAGGTTCTCCAAGTCCCCACTAGATTAACTAGATAGAGAGTGTCAACATAAATGTTCTCCAAGGCCCCACCAGAGCAGCTAGATACAGAGTGTCTTGGTGTATTCACAAACCCTGAGCTAGACACAGGGTGCTGATTGGTGTGTTTACAAACCTTGAGCTAGATACAGAGTGCCGATGGGTGTATTTACAATCCCTGAGCTAGACATAAAGGTTCTCCAAGTCTTCACCAGACTCAGGAGCCCAGCCGGCTTCACCCAGTGGATCCGGCAGTGGGGCTGCAGGTGGAGCTGCCTGCCAGTCCCCCGCCATGCACTCACACTCCTCAGCCCTTGGGTGATCGATGGGACTGGGTGCCGTGGAGCAGGGGGCGGCGCTTGTCGGGGAGGCTGGGGCTGCACAGAAGCCCATGGAGGCGGAGGAAGGCTCAGCCATGGCGGGCTGCAGTCCCGAGGCCTGCCCCGTGGGAAGGCAGCTAAGCAGTAAGAAATCGAGCTCGGCGCCGGCGGGCTGGCACTGCTGGGGGACCCAGTACACCCTCTGCAGCTGCTGGTCCGGGTGCTAAGCCCCTCATTGCCCGGGGCCGGCAGGGCCGGCCGGCTGCTCAGAGTGCGGGGCCCGCCAAGCTCACGCCCACCCGGAACTCCAGCTGGCTCGCAAGCGCCGCGCGCAGCCCCGGTTCCCGCTCGCGCCTCTCCCTCCACACCTCCCTGCAAGCTGAGGGAGTGGGCTCTGGCCTTGGCCAGCCCAGAAAGGGTCTCCCACAGTGCAGCGGTGGGCTGAAGGCCTCCTCAAGTGCCGCCAAAGTGGGAGCCCAGGCAGAGGAGGCGCCGAGAGCGAGCGAGGGCTGTGAGGACTGCCAGCACGCTGTCACCTCTCAATCACATGGCACCCCAGAAACACATACAATTATCATTTGTCAATTTAAAACAATGAATATATTAAATATATAAATAATTTACAGTAACTTGGAAAAAAAAAGCTCAGAGGCCAATACGTCTAAAGCAGCAGAGGCTGTGTGGCTGCTGTAATAAATGGCTGCAAATGGGGTGACTTAAAACAACATAAATGAATTTCTTACATTTCTGGAGGTTCCAATTCTGAAATCAAGGTGTTAGGTCAAACTCCCTCTAGAGCAAGGGGTTCCCCTTTCCCCGCACCAAGACTAGTATCAGTCCCTGGCCTGTGAGGAACCCAGCTTCACAGCAGGAGGTGAGTGGCGGGCTGACCGGCATTATTGCCTGAGCTAACCTGTGGGATCAGTGGCAGCAGCAGATTCCCATAGAAAGGCAAACCGTATTGTGAACTCCACATACAAGGGATCTAGGTTGTGTGCTCCTTATGAATATCTAACTAATACCTGCTGATCTGAGGTTCTGAGGTGGAACAATTTCATCCTGAAACCATCTCCCCCCAACCCCAGGGAAAAATTGTCTTCCACAAAACCAGCCCCTGGTAGCAAAAAGGTTGGGGACCTCTGCTCTGTAGACCACAGGAGAGATTCCATTCCTTGCCTCTTCTAGATTATGTTGTCTGTAGGTGTTCCTTGGTTTGCAGCTACATCACTCTGATCTCTGCCTGTCTTCACATCACCTTTTTCTCTGTATGTCTCTCTCAAAACTCCCTCTGCCTTTCTTTTATTAGGATACATAGGATTGCAGTTTTTACTCAGATAATCCAGGATCAGCAGATCCTCTTGTGACCTTTAAAACTCATGCGTTCCAGAGATTTGAGGTGGATATCTTTTGGGGAGCTATTTTCCAGTTTACCACAGAGGCCAATTTGGCTAAAGGCAGAGTGAATGAGGAAAGATCAGGGAAGGTTGGGAAGAGGGGCCAGGGTTGTAGACAAGATTACATGGGCTTTTACTCTGGGTAAGTTGGAGCCACTGGATGACTTTGAGAAGAGGACTGACATCATTTGACCTTTTAAAGGAACACTCTTGGGGCTGTGGAGAGAAAAGGTCAAGAACGAGCGTAGAAGCTGGTTACCCAGTTTGGAGTTCTATTGTATTAATCTGTGCTGCATTCTAGGTGGCTGGGAAGTGGTAGAAATAGTGAGAATAGTTGCATTCCAGATATTAATTAAAGGAAGTGCTGATTTCTCAAGGACTCTGGCTGTACTTTTAAGCCGGGGAACCATTTTGCTGGAGATCTTTAAAAGTGTTGGTTCCTTGGAAAATATCCTCAACATTGGAGAGTAGCAAGATTAGGGAGTCTGTGGTCTTTTCCCAGTGGCGACAGTAACCCAAGCTCATATTTACTAATACATATGAAGACTCTTGACTCAAACTTGGTAGCTGACTTCCCACTGGAGAATCCACTAGGAAGTACGAAATCTCCCATGTCTATAGATTAAGGTAGTAAATGGGCATTCAGCATTGAGTGAACCAAACAAATTCAGAATTCCAAACCATTTGTGGAAAAAAAAATAACTAAAAACCCAATGATCTTAAGGAATAGGGCTGGATAGGACATTAGCAATAAGAACAGAGCATCCTAAGAGTCTTGCTTTAGCTTAGAACACTGCCAGAGCAAAGAAAATAAATGCTGCAGAGCAAAACTGCAAACTGCAAACTGGTGGTATGCTAGTGGAATGGATTTGTTCCCACAGATTTGTTATGTTTATACAGCAAAATGTTTGAATTTGAATTTGTTGTCAACATTTAGAAATTGGGCATTTTCATATAAAAATCAAAGTTCTCATGTAAAAATCTGTATTTCCAGTTTGAGAAATGAAAATATCGAGCAATAGTTGCCCACTCTCTTATATAAACCTAATATATTGGGGCCCTGTAAAAGTGCCCCCCATGTAGAAACCTCCAAGTTCTCTTTCTTTCCTCCTTATTTTCCTTAATGAATTTATCTTGAGCTTCCTGCACTCCTGTTCCAATCTGGCTGCTTACTAAGACCCACTGCACAACTGGCATCTGGGGCTGTTCCTTCTTCATCCTGAGAATTCTACTCACCTCTCACTCTTATTATGTGCCTCATTTCTAGGATCCCAAAACATATTTCCCAGCTTATTTTCTCATTTGGTGGAGCATATTTACAGTATTTGGAGAACCAACTACAAAGTTTGGAAAGAGTACATTCCACACAAAACCACCCTCACTTTTGACACCAATTGTAAGTTTGGAAAGTTTCCAAAACAGTTTTTATAATTTGCTAGAAGGACTTGCAAAACTTACTGAAAGCCATTTTACTCATGTCTATCATTTATTACAGGGAAGGAATACAAATCAATATCAGCCAAAGCAAAAAGCACATAGGGCAGAGTTTGGGGAAATACCAAATGCAGAACTTTCTTGTCTAATCCTTGTGGAGTCAGGATGCATTACTTTCCACACTGATCTATGACAACATGCACGGAGAATTGCCAGCAAGAGATGCTCACCAGAGCCTTGTTGTTGAGCTTCTTTTTTGGTTTCATTACATAGGTATGATTGATGAATTAATTGCACACATAGTTGATTTCAGTCTCTAGATTGACTACTATCTTATGGCCCAAAACCCTCAACATAAATTATCTTGCTTTCCTTGGATGGCCAGCCACACCTTAAATCACACTGTTAGACTGTGCTGCATGTTCCAAGGCCCGTAGACAGACAAAGACATTTCTATCAGGCATAAAATCCCAAGATTTAAGACATTACTTTCCAAAAGCTTAGGGCAAAAACCAGAAAAATCTCTTGGGGAAAGGCTTGATTCTTTACTACATACTATTCTACAGTAACTGCTTAAGAATGGTACTTGGGAGTAAAGAAAATATAGAAAATCATTAAAATGTGTAATGATTGCTTATTTGGCAAGATAAAGAATTCCACTCTCTCCCTCCACCCAGTCCAAACCAACATACATTTTTCGCTCAGAAGATACTACTTTAGCTTTTAATGATGTTTTAAGAATTCTGATAATGTTCTGAGTCTTGATCAATTATAAATGACTTGCTTTTGCACTCAGATGCTTTTAAAATTTTCTCTACATCCCAGTATTTTGAAATTTAATGATTATGAGCCTTCAGGTCTTTTTAATCCATTCATTTTATTAGGATTTAGTTGGAATAAAAAAAAACTTAGAGCTTTGTGTTCTTAAGTTCTGAAATACTTACTTGTATTACTTCCTTTATTACTGTGTCTTTTTCATATTCTTTTTTTGTTTTGTTTTGTTTTTGAGAGGGAGTCTCACTCTGTCGCCCAGGCTGGAGTGTGGAGGCATGATCTTGACTCACTGAAACCTTCATCTCCCGGGTTCAAGCGATTCTCCTGCCTCAGTCTCCTGAGTAGTTAGTATTACAGGCGCGTGCCACCATGCCCAACTAATTTTTGTATGTTTAGTAGAGACAGAGTTTCATCATGTTGGCCATGCTGGCCTCAAACTCCTGGCTTCAAGTGATTCGCCAGCCTCGACCTCCCAAAGTGCTGGGATTACAGGTGTGAGCCACTGCGCCTGGACTTTTTCATATTCTTTTTTTGGAATTCCTATTCAGGATATGAATTTCTTGAGTTGATCATCTAATGTTAGTTTTTTTTCCTTATATTTTTATGTCATTTTTTGTGGGGGTTTTGGAGAAGATTTTTTATTCAGTTCCTCCATAGAGAGCTTTTAAAAATACATTTCTATCATAGTTTTGTTTCAAGAGTATTTTATTTACTTTCTGAACATTCCTTTTATAGCATCCTGATTTTGTTTTAGTGTCTCAACATCTAAGTTGTTAAATCTAGAACTCTTCAACTTTTTTCTTTTCTTTTGCTCTTTGCATAACTTTTAAGTTTGGTTTGTGTGTGTGTGTTTTGGTCTTAATGATTTATGTAAGTGGCTTTCCTCAGGGCATTTTTTACGGTTTATTTATATTTACTATTGAAACACTAAATTGGTTTTTGAAAGATCTATGTGAATAGGTAGTGTTTGTTGACTGATTGGTCTCCCTGCAAAGGTAAGCAGAGAGGAATCTGGCTTTTTTATTAGGAAAACTTTACCTGTCAGTTTCTCATGGGCTTTTCTCTTGGGCAGATCACGCATAAAAGGGGACGAGTCCAAATTCCTACCACCTGTGTAGGCCTGTCTCTTCACTCCCCAGAGGTTCTGGGGAGGGCCATATAATGTGAGGGCTCACAATTTAGCACTACATTTTAATATTCTCTGGATGAAAATATTTACCACTACCTTCAATAATACTGAGCATTGGCCAGGCACGGTGGCACACGTCTGTAATCCCAACACTTTGGGACACCGAGGTAGGTGGATTGCCTGAGGTCAGGAGTTTGAGACCAGCCTGGACAACATGGCAAAACCCTGTTTCTACTAAAAATACAAAAATTAGCCAGGCGTGGTGGCACGTGCCTGTAGTCCCAGCTACTCGGGAGGCTAAGGCAGTAAAATAGCTTGAACAGGGTGGCAGAGGTTGCAGTGAGCCGAGATCACACCACTGCACTCCAGCCTGGGTGACAGAGAGAGATGCTGTCTCAAAAATAATAATAATAATACTGAGAATCTTTAAGATCAGAAATTGTGTGATTCACTATTTCCAGGGAGTAAACTCTAGTCTTTTATCAAAGTAGAAAGTGAGTAAGTGCTTGTTTATCTGTCTTGAGGGGAGACATCTGAAGATGTAACTGCTTGCCATACAAACTTTCCAACAATCTTTCCTATAATCAGTTCCAGACACACTTCCTGCCTTGTGAGATATCTGACTTTTCCAAACCCTGAGCCTTCCTTCTATTCTGCACAGTGAATCAGCCTACTTTAATTCTGTCTCTTTGTGGTTTTCAGTTTTGCTCACGTAACTAGTCTAGTTGTCTATTAACTTTTTAACTTACAAGATGTAGTTAACAGCTCTTGTTTGTTCTGTCTTGTTGTTTTTTCCCTTGTGGATTTGCAATAGTTTTTTTAACCTCTTCACTGTCATTTTTGGGGAGGTTTTAGCAGATTCTAGAGGCACCTGTGTATTTAGCATTCCATGCAAGACCAGAAATTTAAATTGACTATTAACCAATGGAATAGTAACTCTCAATTAAAATATGATCATTGTATTACCACCTCTGAGTTTATTTATTCTATTTAAGGAATGGATTAGTAAATCACTTTCTACCTGCAAACGTCAATATGAAATAATTTGTGCAGCTACTGCTGGTTTATTCTGGATAATCTGAGGGCGTGTATTTTAGAGGTACTTAAACACATACTTATTTTAGAATGTTTCACACATATATCACTTATACACATCCACTTACACATATACTCATTCAATTACCGTTACAAATCACATTTATTGAGTGTCTCTGACTACTTGGATCTTGGACTATGCACTGTGAATGCAGAGATTGATAAGGTGCAATTTTTGTCTTCAAGGATATCACAATTTAGCAGGGTTCCTACATGTGTAGAAATAATTTGGACACTAGAACTCAGGTATCAAACAAACTTTACACTTTAGAACACTGCAGAGAATCAGAAAGCAATAAAAAGCTTTTATAAACTAAAACAGTTCCCATGTTGTTCATAAATTAAAGCCTAAATAATGTGTTCATAGGCGTTCTATGCCCTCACATGGATTGCATAGCCCCACATTGTAGATTCAGTTCTAGCAAGTTTAATTGTACGATTTCCCAGAATGCATAATATTTAAAGTAGCAAGTAACAAATGTAGACTATAGCTAAAAGGCAAGGAAGCTGGCACTAGTATGAAATGATGCCTAGCTCTGAGGCAATATACAAATAGTACCCACGACAAGCAGTGTTAGTGTAGTTAAAGGCTGGGTATAAGTCCTGGTTCTGCTAGCTATTTATAAAGTAGCCTCGAATGAGTCACATTAACTCTGTAAGCTTCAGTTGCTTTGTCTGCAAAACTAGGAAAATAGTCACACTGACAGTCTAGAGTTCTTGAAACAATTGAATAAAAGAATACATGTAAAACAATAAGCACAATTTGTATTAAGTATTAATACAAAAATTACCCTGGGTATTTAAAACTCAATGAATTTTATGCAAGAGATTGTTTACATGGTGATAGAATAGTTGAGAAGCCAAACAGAAAAAGAGACATTGAAGCAACCCAGGGGTCAGCCACAGCAGAAAGTGCCTATTAGAGATGCAAAGCAACTGTAACTCAGGAGCCTGAGTTGCCCAGAGAGAGGCAGGATAGAAGAACACAGGCACTGTGGGAGAAAGAGATATGCTCTAGTTTCTCTTTTCTTCCACCACCCAGTCCCTCACCAGTGCCTCCCATAGATTGAATCCTGCTGAAGCCCACTGATCTCAGAACCTGGGACATTCAGACTCAACATCATCCACTCCATACTACAGAGCAGAGCAGAACAGGAGCCAGTGAGGAATGATTTGTGGGCAAACCCACCCAGGACCAGAACAGGCACTCACAACACAGCCATGTTACCCACCCTAAACAGAGGACTACTGAAACTACTAAATATTCAGACTCAAGACGTACCAAAAAAAATCAGCACTTAAAACAATAAATTTAAAATTATGCAGGAATCTTTGCAAACTGAAGTTGAACACTCCATTAAAGTTTCTGTAAAGTTTGTGAGAGGTGTGTGTGTGTGTGTGTGTGTGTGTGTGTGTTCGGAGAGACAGAGAGAAGAACAAGTGAGTACCTCCCAGGGTCTCCTCAGGCCACACTGAAAGTCTCTTTTCTATTCGGCTATAGCACATCATACTCATTACTATGGCCAAAACATTGCACTGTTTTTTCACACATGTAATACTTGTACTATATATGGGGTACAGATATTTAGATAAATATTTAGATATTTAAGATATTTAGATAAATGTGTGTCATGTGTAATGATCAAATCAGAGTAATTAGCACATGCATCACCTCAAGTCTTTATATCTTTGTTTTGCAACATTCAAAATTCTCTACTTTAGCTATTTAAAGATATATAATAAATTATTAACTATGGTCACCCTACAGTGCTATAGATCACTAGAACTTCTATTTCTTCTATATAATTTTCCTTTTTTTAATTATACTTTAAGTTTTAGGGTACATGTGCACAATGTGCAGGTTAGTTACATATGTATACATGTGCCATGTTGGTGTGCTGCACCCATTAACTCGTCATTTAACATTAGGAATATCTCCTAATGCTATCCCTCCCCACTCCCCTCACCCCACAACAGGCCCCAGTGTGTGATGTTCCCCTTCCTGTGTCCATGTGTTCTCATTGTTCAATTCCCACCTATGAGTGAGAACATGTGGTGTATGGTTTTTTGTCGTTGTGATAGTTTGCTAATGATGGTTTCCAGCTTCATCCATGTCCCTGCAAAGGACATGAACTCATCATTTTTTATGGCTGCCTAGTATTCCATGGTGTATATGTGCCACATTTTCTTAATCCAGTCTGTCACTGATGGACCTTTGGGTTGGTTTCAAGTCTTTGCTACTGTGAATAGTACCACAATAAATATACGTGTGCATGTGTCTTTATAGCAGCATGATTTATAATCCTTTGGGTATATACCCAGTAATGGGATGGCTGGGTCAAATGGTATTTCTAGTTCTAGATCCCTGAGGAATCGCCACACTGACTTCCACAATGGTTGAACTAGTTTATAGTCCCACCAACAGTGTAAAAGTGTTCCTGTTTCTCCACATCCTGTCTAGCACCTGTTGTTTCCTGACTTTTTAATGATCACCATTCTAACTGGTGTGAGATGGTATCTCGTTGTGGTTTTGATTTGCATTTATCTGATGGCCAGTGATGATGAGCATTTTTTCATGTGTCTTTTGGCTGCATAAATGTCTTCTTTTGAGAAGTGTCTGTTCATATCCTTCACCCACTTGTTGATGGGGTTGTTTGTTTTTTCTTGTAAATTTGTTTGAGTTCATTGTAGATTCTGGATATTAGCCGTTTGTCAGATGAGTAGATTGCAACAATTTTCTCCCATGTTGTAGGTTGCCTGTTCACTCTGATGGTAGTTTCTTGTGCTGTGCAGAAGGTCTTTAGTTTAATTAGATCCCATTTGTCAATTTTGGCTTTTGTTGCCATTGCTTTTGGTGTTTTAGACATGAAGTCCTTGCCCATGCCTATGTCCTGAATGGTATTGCCTAGGTTTTCTTCTAGGGTTTTTATGGTTTTAGGTCTAACATTTAAGTCTTTAATCCATCTTGAATTAATTTTTGTATAAGGTGTAAGGAAGGAATCCAGTTTCAGCTTTCTACATATGGCTAGCCAGTTTTCCCACCACCATTTATTAAATAGGGAATCATTTCCCCACTTCTTGTTTTTGTCAGGTTTGTCAAAGATCAGATGGTTGTAGATATGCAGCATTATTTCAGAGGGCTCTGTTCTGTTCCATTGATCTATATCTCTGTTTTGGTACCAGTACCATCCCGTTTTGGTTACTGTAGACTTGTAGTATAGTTTGAAGTCAGGTAGTGTGATGCCTCCAGCTTTGTTCTTTTGACTTAGGATTGACTTGGCAATGCAGCCTCTTTTTTGGTTCCATATGAACTTTAGTTTTTTCCAATTCTGTGGAGAAAGTCATTGGTAGCTTCATGGGAATGGCACTGAATCTATAAATTACCTTGGGAAGTATGGCCATTTTCATGATATTGATTCTTCCTACCCATGAGCATGGAATGTTCTTCCATTTGTTTGTATCCTCTTTTATTTCGTTGAGCAGTGATTTGTAGTTCTCCTTGAAGAAGTTCTTCACGTCCCTTGTAAGTTGGATTCCTAGGTATTTTATTCTCTTTGAAGCAATTGTGAATGGGAGTTCACTCATGATTTGGCTCTCTGTTTGTCTGTTATTGGTGTATAAGTATGCTTGTGATTTTTGCACATTGATTTTGTATCCTGAGACTTTGCTGAAGTTGCTTATCAGCTTAAGGAGATTTTGGGCTGAGATGATGGGGTTTTCTTGATATACAATCATGTCATCTGCAAACAGGGACAATTTGACTTCCTCTTTTCCTAATTGAATGCCCTTTATTTCCTTCTCCTGCCCGACTGCCCTGGCCAGGACTTCCAACACTATGTTGAATAGGAGTGGTGAGAGAGGGCATCCCTGTCTTGTGCCAGTTTTCAAAGGGAATGCTTCCAGTTTCTGCCCATTCAGTGCATTCAGTATGATATTGGCTGTGGGTTTGTCATAGATAGCTCTTATTATTTTGAGATACGTCCCATCAATACCTAATTTATTGAGAGTTTTTAGTAGGAAAGGCTGTTGAATTTTGTCAAAGGCATTTTCTGCATTTATTGAGATAATCATGTGGTTTTTGTTGTTGGTTCTTTTATATGCTGGATTACATTTAATGATTTGCATATGTTGAACCAGCCTTGCATCCCAGGGATGAAGCCCACTTGATCATGGTCGATAAGCTTTTTAATGTGCTGCTGGATTCGGTTTGCCAGTATTTTATTGAGGATTTTTGCATCGATGTTCATCAGGGATATTGGGCTAAAATTCTCTTTTTGTGTTGTGTCTCTGCCAGGCTTTGGTATCAGGATGATGCCGGCCTCATAAAATGAGTTAGGGAGGATTCCCTCTTTTTCTATTGATTGGAATAGTTTCATAAGGAATGGTACCAGCTCCTTCTTGTACCTCTGGTAGAATTCGGCTGTGAATCCATCTGGTCCTGGATTTTTTGGTTGGTAAGCTATTAATTATTGCCTCAATTTCAGAGCCTGTTATTCATCTATTCAGGGATTCAGCTTCTTCCTGGTTTAGTCTTCGGAGTGTGTATGCGTCAAGGTATTTATCCATTTCTTCTAGATTTTCTAGTTTATTTGCATAGAGGTGTTTATAATATTCTCTAATGGTAGTTTGTATTTCTGTGGGATCGGTGGTGATATCCCCTTTATCGTTTTTTATTGCATCTATTTGATTCTTCTCTCTTTTCTTCTTTATTAGTCTTGCTAGCGGTCTGTCAATTTTGTTGATCTTTTCAAAAAACCAGCTCCTGGATTCATTGATTTTTTTGAAGGGTTTTTTGTGCCTCTATTTCCTTCAGTTCTGCTCTGATCTTAGTTATTTCTTGCCTTCTGCTAGCTTTTGAATGTGTTTACTCTTGCTTTTCTAGTTCTTTTAATTGTGATGTTAGGGTGTCAATTTTAGATCTTTCCTGCTTTCTCTTGTAGGCATTTAGGGCTATAAATTTCCCTCTACACACTGCTTTGAATGTGTCCCAGAGATTCTGGCATATTGTGTCTTTGTTCTCGTTGGTTTCAAAGAACATCTTTATTTCTGCCTTCATTTCGTTATGTACCCAGTAGTCATTCAGGAGCAGGTTGTTCAGTTTCCATGTAGTTGAGCGGTTTTGAGTGAGTTTCTTAATCCTGAGTTCTAGTTTGATTGCACTGTGGTCTGAGAGACAGTTTCTTATAATTTCTGTTGTTTTACATTTGCTGAGGAGTGCTTTACTTCCAACTATGTGGTCAATTTTGGAATAAGTGCAATGTGGTGCTGAGAAGAATGTATATTCTATTGATTTGGGGTGGAGAGTTCTGTAGATGTCTATGAGGTCCACTTGGCACAGAGTTGAGTTCAATTCCTGGATATCCTTGTTAACTTTCTGTCTTCTTGATCTGTCTAATGTTGATAGTGGGGTGTTAAAGTCTCCCATTATTATTGTGTGGGAGTCTAAGTCTCTTTGTAGATCTCTAAGGACTTGCTTTATGAATCTGGGTGCTCCTGTATTGGGTGCATATATATTTAGGATAGTTAGCTCTTCTTGTTGAATTGATCCCTTTACCATTATGTAATGGCCTTCTTTGTCTCTTTTGATCTTTGTTGGTTTAAAGTCTGTTTTATCAGAGACTAGGATTGCAACCCCTGCCTTTTTTTGTTTTCCATTTGCTTGGTAGATCTTCCTCCATC
Organism: Homo sapiens; assembly: GCF_000001405.40. Classification (NCBI taxonomy): domain Eukaryota; kingdom Metazoa; phylum Chordata; class Mammalia; order Primates; family Hominidae; genus Homo; species Homo sapiens. The sequence continues at coordinate 130,050,070 of NC_000004.12, forward strand.
CTTTTATTTTGAGCCTATGTGTGTCTCTGCATGTGAGATGGGTTTCCTGAATACAGCACACTGATGGGTCTTGACTCTTTATCCAATTTGCCAGCCTGTGTCTTTTAATTGGAGCATTTAGCCCATTTACATTTAGGGTTAATATTGTTATGTGTGAATTTGATCCTGTCACTATGATGTTCGCTGATGATTTTGCTCATTAGTTGATGCAGTTTCTTCCTACCCTTGATGGTCTTTACAATTTGGCATGTTTTTGCAGTGGCTGGTACTGGTTATTCCTTTCCATATTTAGTGCTTCCTTCAGGAGCTCTTTTAGGGCAGTCCTGGTGGTGACAAAATCTCTCAGCATTTGCTTGTCTATAAAGTATTTTATTCCTCCTTCACTTATGAAGCTTAGTTTGGCTGGATATGAAATTCTGAGTTGAAAATTCTGTTCTTTAAGAATGTTGAATATTGACCCCCAGTCTCTTCTGGCTTGTAGAGTTTCTGCTGAGACATCCGCTGTTAGTCTGATGGGCTTCCCTTTGTGGGTTACCCGACCTTTCTCTCTAGCTGCCCTTAACATTTTTTCCTTCATTTCAACTCTGGTGAATCTGACAATTATGTGTCTTGGAGTTGCTCTTCTCAAGGAGTATCTTTGTGGCGTTCTCTGTATTTCCTGAATGTGAATGTTGGCCTGCCTTGCTAGATTGGGGAAGTTCTCCTGGATAATATCTTGCAGAGTGTTTTCCAACTTGGTTCCATTCTCCCCGTCACTTTCAGGTACACCAATCAGATGTATATTTGGTCTTTTTATGTAGTCCCATGTTTCTTGGAGGATTAGTTCGTATCTTTTTATTCTTTTTTCTCTAAACTTCTCTTCTCACTTCATTTCATTCATTTCATCTTCCATCACTGATAGCTTTTCTTCCAGTTGATAAAATTGGCTACTGAGGCTTGTGCATTCATCATGTAGTTCTCGTGCCGTGGTTTTCAGCTCCATCAGGTCCTTTGAGGACTTCTCTGCATTGGTTATTCTAGTTAGCTATTCATCTAATTTTTTTTCAAGGTTTTTAACTTCTTTGCCATGGGTTCAAACTTCCTCCTTTAGCTCGGAGTAGTTTGATCATCTGAAGCCTTCTTCTCTCAACTCGTCAAAGTCATTCTCCGTCCAACTTTGTTCTGTCACTGGTGAGGAGCTGTGTTCCTTTGGAGGAGGAGAGGCACTCTGATTTTTAGAATTTTCAGTTTTTCTGCTCTGTTTTTTCCCCATCTTTGTGGTTTTATCTACCTTTGGTCTTTGATGATGGTGACGTACAGATGGGGTTTCAGTGTGGATGTCCTTTCTGTTAGTTTTCCTTCTAACAGTTGGGACCCTCAGCTGCAGGTCTGTTGGAGTTTACTGGAGGTCCACTCCATACCCTGTTTGCCCGGGTATCAGCAGCAGAGGCTGTAGAACAGAGGATATTGGTGAGTAGCAAATGTTGCTGCCTGATCGTTCCTCTGGAAGTTTTGTTTCAGAGGAGTACCTGGCTGTGTGAGGTGCCAGTCTGCCCTTACTGGGGGGTGCCTCCCAGTTAGGCTACTCAGGGGTCAGGGACCCACTTGAGGAGGCAGTCTGTCCATTCTCAGATCTCCAGCTGCGTGCTGGGAGAACCACTACTCTCTTCAAAGCTGTCAGACAGGGACATTTAAGTCTGCAGAGGTTTCTGCTGCCTTTTGTTTGGCTATGCCCTGCCCCCAGAGGTGGAGTCTACTGAGGCAGGCAGGCCTCCTTGAGCTGCAGTGGGCTCCACCCAGTTCAAGCTTCCCAGCCGCTTTGTTTACCTACTCAAGCCTCGGCAATGGCGGGTGCCCCTCCCCCAGCCTCACTGCTGCCTTGCAGTTTGATCTCAGACTGCTGTGCTAGCAATGAGCAAGGCTCCGTGGGCGTAGGACCCTTTGAGTCAGGCATGGGACACAATCTCCTGGTGTGCCTTTTGCTAAGACCATTGGAAAACTGCAGTATTAGGGTGAGAGTGACCCGTTTTTCCAGGTGACGTCTGTCACCCCTTTCCTTCGCTAGGAAAGTTAATTCCCTGACCCCTTGCACTTCCGGGTGAGGCGATGCCTCGCCCTGCTTCGGTTCACGCTCGGTGCACTGCACCCACTGTCCTGCACCCACTGTCTGACAATCCCCAGTGAGATGAACCCGGTACCTCAGTTGGAAATGCAGAAATCATTGGTCTTCTGCGTCACTCACGCTGGGAGCTGCAGACTGGAGCTGTTCTTATTCGGCCATCTTGGCTCCACCCGGTATAATTTTCTATCTTTTAACTAACCTCTCCCTATGCTCCCTTCTCTCCCACCCTTTCCAGTCTCTAATAACCACAATTTTTTTTTGCATTCATCCTATAAATGCTTGTTGAGCATTTATTGTGTTCCAGAAGCTAAGATTGGCCCTGTGATTCACAACGAGGAACTGGGCATGGCCCAGTTCCTAGGGAACCCAAGTTTTGTATTAAACTCATGTTTTTGAGTCTTTTTCTCTATCCTTGCCTTTCCCTAGGATTAAGCTTGTATCATTGGGAGCTAGAATCATTTGTTTTTCATTATGTTACAATATTTTCTGACATGGTATCTGTGACATAGCAGATATTTAATACATTTTTATTGAACTGAATTGAGAAAATAAAAATTACTAGACTCTCTCTGGACTTTTTTGTTCAAAGCTGCTGGAGACTGAAATGTGATAGGTTGACAGAATGTCAGTTATTGGAAAGTAGGAAAAACAAATTTGAAAGCAGAGTAACTAGTTTTCTTCAACATTACTAATTATTTTAATAGAATTCCTTAACAGGAGATTCTGCAATTAGTTCATAATTTGCCATGAAAATATAAATGGATTTTTCTTCTATTAAGATTAAATATTAATCTAAACTTTGTTTTTTCAGTGCCTTTTTCCTGTTAATTTTAAGTTATTTCTTCTTCAATATGACAATGCAAACAAATCAGATTATCAATTAACAAAACATATCCTGTGTTTAGAGAAATCATCTTCAAGTGTAAACTAGCAGATGTGGGTTCTGGGCTTGAGCCTGCTCTGGGTGACATCTGTCACCACACTGATTGCCAGGTTGGACTTAGTGCCTTCCTCACTAATTCTTGCATCTTTCCCTGAAGCTGATTACCTGAAAAGAAACTTTTTTTGAGACAGAGTTTCGCTCTTGTTGCCCAGGCTGGCGTGCAATGGTGTGATCTCGGCTCACTAGACCTCTACCTCCCAGGTTCAAGTGATTCTCCTGCCTCGGTTTCCCCAGTAGCTGGGATTACAGGCATGACAGGTTAATTTTGTATTTTTAGTGGAGACAGGGTTTCTGCATGTTGGTCAGGCTGGTCTCAAACTCCCGACCTCAGGTGATCCGCCCACTTTGGCATCCGAAAGTGCTAGGATTACAGGCGTGAGCCACCATGCCAGGCCAAAAGAATCTATATTAATGAAAAATATTTTTCTATGAATGAGAGATGAAATTATGACACTATGTTTTTTTCACAGCAATCTGTTTATTCTCTTTGTAAAGATGATCCTACCTACATTATTTTCTGTATACAAAAAAATAAAATACAAAAATAGTTACTCAAATTTTGAACACGTTTGAAATCAAATTTGAACCAGGTTGCTTTAATTGCTCTGTTTGAGGGTTGGTGGACATGTATGAGCTTTGTATATTTCTCCCCTGTGTTGTCAAATACAAACCAAACTATTCAGGACACATTGCACCTCCCACTTCCTTCAATGACTGCAATTGAGAAGAACAGATGAAAGCTGTCTATGAGGCGTGTATGCCTTTCTGTGTTTCCTCTGCTCTTTGTTTCCAGTGTTTCTCTTCAAACAGCTCACAGTCCATAGTCAGCACAGAGGTCGCATGCACAGTGGGGGTTGACTTCAAGTTCCTTTTACCTTTTGCAACTATATTGCTGACTGTGCATTTTTAAAAAGGTCTTAAATTGGTAACTGACAAAGTTATATATAAAATAGTAAGACTTTGATGTTCTTGTTTTCTTCCTTCTAAAGTATGCAGTGGCAGTGAAAGATTGGGTAGACTGAGTAACCTTCCCAAGGGTAACTTTTATTAGGAACCAAATGAGTCCTGCCTTCCACAGATGTTTTTTTCAAGGCTGTATTTGTGCAGGTAACTCCAGAGGCAAGCTTTCTGTAAATAAACTTTCCTTTGTGACCACATATTCATAATTCTTGCCAAATGAAGCCAATGAAAGGTGATTTTAAAGATCAGCCAATCTTTGCTATGAAATTATTTTCTTTAATTATATCAAATAAATATAAAATGCTCTGGTCAGTAATTGATGACCAGAAGTATTTTATATTTACTGATAGTGGGAAAATGTCTATCTTATATATTTATCCGTGGGAAGTTAAAGCTTATTATTATGTTAAAAAATCAAAGTTACCCTAATCATAACCATAACATGAATTAGGCATTATGGAAATTTGATAATTAAAATTTATCAAAAGTTTGGTATTTGTGGAATCTTTGAGGGATATTTCATGCCCCCAAATATGTCCTGCAGGCTGATTTCTGCCCTAGCCTTATATCCATAGGTCATTTAAAGAAAAAAGATCAGGTTCCCAATTCAGATTTCTAATCCCTCGTGTCTTTCAGGCAGTGTTGTCAGATCATTAGGACCTAAAAGAAGAGTATTTTAAAATTCCCATTTGAGTCCCCTGCAACATTAATTCCCAGGTCATTTCAGTAATGCATACTTGGAAATTATTTAATAGTTATGCTAAATTATCCCATATGTATTGGGTACCTACAATGCACACTGCATGTCAATGTCAACCCAACCCACAATATACTCACTGGACAAATATCAAGGGTAATCAAAACTTTCTAGGATCTTGCTGAAATCAAAAGTTCATATTTCAGATGAAATTAACAATGACTAGGCAGACTCCTATGTATTCTTAAGACAGTAAATAGCTGTGATTAAATATACAACTTCCTTTTGCATTCACCCTGAGCATTCATCATAAAGTCGTGCATGTGTGTGGTAGCAGCAGCTGCATGCACTCAAAGTATACTTTATATGCCCTTTGAGCCTTTCCTCATTCCCATATCCCCATCCCACAAGTGAATTTGATATATTTTAGTGAGCTTATATTTCAAACATGTTTTTTACACTTAGTGTAGTTTTCATATGATACAGTAAAAACAGTGGTAAACATTCTGAAACATTACTGTAAATGTACATTATTATCATGAACCAATGTGTTTAGTACTTCTTCTAACTTTATATCAAATTTTGAAAGCATATCTTCTATGCAAATTTGACGCATTACTTCCTCATCTGACATTATATGATGTTATAGAATATAATCAACATTAAAATTTAAATTTAATTATTTTAAATGCATTTAATATATATGTATGTGTATATCTATATCTATAGACATGGCCATCTTAAGCAATATTTCCGAAAATTATCTAAATTTTCTTCAGGATCAAGTATCGACGTTGAATAAACAAAATGTCTAATTATTTACAATGGATTCTTATTTTAAAGTACATTATTTGTTGAGGGGTTATTGACAAAGTGGGATATGTTCATACAGGTGAAAGGACAAATGTAACAACTTTGGATATTTTCATTGTAAAGTGAAAGCCTAATTTCTAGGTTCTCACTTTATAAAGGAGAACTGAGAAATTAATACCACATACATATTGCAATATGTATGTATGTATGTATGTATATATCCATATTATTTTATGATTTTACTCTGTGGAAACTGTAAAAGAAAATCTAAAATTGTAGAGTGCAGGCCATCCCATAATAAAAATTATTTTTTAAAAATTATCAAATGTTGTGAAATAGCCTGTGACAGTAATTCTGCATTAGTGACTTTTCTGTGCAGCTATATATAAAGTAATACAGACATCTAGTATGTGTTCAAGTCCTCATGTGGGAATCCATTTCCATAGTTAACCTAGCTTATCAACTGTATTTTATAATATTAATTTTTTTAGTTTCCTACAGTCCCATTGAGACTCATTGAAATTGAACACATTTTGTCACCATATTTTTCTTCAGATTAGGTTCTGTTTTAATGTTCTCACTGAAAACTACAAAGTGAACTTTGCTTGTAATTTGTGGGAATAATGCCAGACAATTGGGCACAAACAGTAGTAGAAGAAAAACACCCTATATTCAACAAATACTATTTTAGGATAGAGGATTAAGGAAAACTTTGAGCCCAGTTGAAATTTCAGGGCAGATTAAAATGGCAATAAGTGTATATAATAACCCAGCTGGAATCTGTTCAGGATATCAGGGCCAAGTGCTCTTTTAATTATTTAGTTAATGGATCTGTCCATGCCAAAATAGCCACCCTACACTGAGGCTGGCAGCCTGTTTTTCAGAAGTATGCCTTCACTGATGCACTCTAAAACCACAAGAAGTTAATTGCTTATCTGCTTCCATTTTTGTGCCAGTTTCACTTATGAAGTTAGGTGTTGTGGGAAGTCAGGGACCCCAAATGGAGGGACCGGCTGAAGCCATGGCAGAAGAACGTGGATTGTGAAGATTTCATGAACAATTTATTGGTTCCCCAAATTAATACTTTTATAATTTCTTATGCCTGTCTTTACTGCAATCTCTAAACATAAATTGTGAAGATTTCATGGACACTTATCACTTTCCCAATCAATACCCTTGTGATTTCCTAGGCCTGTCTTTACTTTAATCTCTTAATTCTGCCATCTCGTAAGCCGAGGAGGATGTATGTCGCCTCAGGACCATGTGATAATTGCGTTAACTGCGCAAATTGTAGAGCATGTGTGTTTAAACAATATGAAATCTGGGCACCTTGAAAAAAGAACAGGATAACAGCAATTGTTCAGGGAATAAGAGAGATAAACCTAAACTCTGACTGCCAGTGAGCCGGGCGGAACAGAGCCATATTTCTCTTCTTTCAAAAGCAAATGGGAGAAATATCACTGAATTCTTTTTCTCAGCAAGGAACATCCCTGGGAAAGAGAATACATGCCTGGGGGTAGGTCTATAGACGGTCCCCAGGGTGTGGCCATGTTTTATGATCTGTAGACTGTAGGGGTGAAATAGACCCCAGTATCCCATAGCCCTCCCAGGCTTATTAGGGAGAAGAAATTCCCGCCTAATAAATTTTGTCAGACCAGTTGCTCTCAAAACCCTGTCTCCTGATAAGATGTTATCAATGACAATCGTGCCCGAAACTTCATTAGCAATTTTAATTTCGCCGCCCTGGTCCTGTGGTCTTGTGATCTCGCCCTGCCTCCATTTACCTTGTGATATTCTATTACCTTATGAAGTATGTGATGTCTGTGACCCACACTCTATTCGTATACTCCCTCCCCTTTTGAAACTCCTTAATAAAAACTTACTGGTTTTACGGCTTATGGGGCATCACGGAACCTACTGATACGTGATGTCTCCCCCAGACACCCAGCTTTAAAATTTCTCTCTTTTGTATTCTGTCCCTTTATTTCTCAAACCCGCCTACACTTAGGGAAAAGAGAAAAGAACCTACGTGACTATCGGGGCAGGTTCCCCGATAGTTAGGTCCATGTGTAGGTTATTTTGGGATTTGAGGAATTTGTTTAACCATAGATAAACCAGTTTTGTTTCATTGAAATGGCTTGTTCATACAGATCCTGGAATATGGAATCTTCCATTTTAAAGGCATGTCTGGCTTTAAAATTTAAATAATAGCTCCATCTTACCTAAAGGAGTCCTGAACAAATGATGCATATTATCATTATTATTTACGAATCCATCCACTGACATGTCATGATAATGTTAACTCTTCATAACTTTTCTACCTCAGAAAGTGATTTAGGTCAGTTTATGAGTCAGTCACCCAGATGTTTCCAGATATGTTTACATCTAATTTCCAGTCTATTTTCTGAGTTGCTCACATTTTATTTTTATGCCTCGATATCCTTGAACTAACAAATTCTTGAACTTAGGTATTTCTTCTTGTAAAATAGACTTACATGAATTATGAAATACTTTCACTTTCCTATAAGTCACTAATGCCCCAAAACATTAAACAGACTCATATAAATTTTACTTAAGCCCTGCAGCACAAACAAATGTGTGTCAAGTATAGACTCCTTGAGGGAGCTACGGGAAGTATAAGGTAGTTTGTTTCAATTTCTCCTTATTATTGCCCTGGCACTGATGTGACTGATGCAGACAAGTGTTCAATTCTTCACTTGCATTTCTCCTTCCCTTTAGCATTGCCTCCTCTCTTTTCTACAATCTGTCTCTAGCTTTCACTATAGACTCAGGACAATATTTCTACATTTATTAAAACAAGTTTGCCATTCTTAAAACATAAATACTAAGTTATATAACTAATTAGAAATCTTACTGCTAACACAAGTAGGAAAGCTAAAATCTGATAGTACTACAGGTTGCTCTATTATGGGCTTAATTATTTAATTCAATTATAAGTTAATTCAATTATAAGAGGTTTCTTTTCAGGATTAAAATATCTACTCCATACATATTTTCTCTTAATTGACTTTAAATATGATATAACTTATAAATATCTATACAGATTACAGAAAATAATTGAAATATGCTCTGCATTTTTGGGTTCAACATTTTTTGTTTTTTAAGACAGGGACTTACTTTGTTGCGTTGGCTAGGTTGCAATGGCCTGATCTCCGCTTACTGTAACCTCCACCTCCCAGGCTCAAGTGATCGTCCCACCTTAGCCTCCAAAGCTGGGACCACAGATGTACACCACCATGCCTGGCTATTTTTTGTATTTTGTATTTTGTATTTTTATTTTTTAGTAGAGATGGGGTTTCACCATGTTGCCCACGCTGGTCTTGAACTCCTGAGCTCAAGTGATGCACCCACCTCGGCTTCCCAAATTGGGGTTCAACATTTTAAGAGTCATTGAGAAGTTGTTAAGTGTTTGAAAGTGGGGTGACTAAAGAAGTGAGGATCTAAACTCAAATTATATAAAGGGATTTTCAAGATCTGTTTTTCTCTGAGATAAAAATGCTTAGTATTTTTACCTACTTTACCTCTCATAATGTTCAAAATGACCCTTTGAATGAGAAAGTAAAATTTTAAAAATTCGAGGAAAATGTTATTCAGATGACATTACACATATTAATAAATGTCAGAAGTAGAATTTAATACCAGGGATGTTGGGCTAACAGTCCTTTCCATTTTCAGGATGTCATTATAATTCCATAAAAGAAGATCCTAGCTATTTTGATTTGGTCTGGAAAGTGAACTAGAATCAGTGATTGTACACTATGAAGACAAATTTTGATTCCATATGCAAAACTATGCAATAAAGAGGTGTGGTGACAATAAAATAAGAGATAAGGTCAAGAATCTTGATTTAAAAAAAAAAAAGAAAACAACTCTAAGGTACTAAGTCAGCTGACATATATACTTCCCAAAGAAATTCCTGAAGCACTTTCCCAGAATACATTAATGGATAGGTAAGGTGTACTTACAAATGGAACAAAGCAACACACACATTCGATCAGGTAGAATTATCATAAGAATTTAAATTCATTATGTGTCGTGAAAATTGATTATAGGAATTGGAGTTATTCTTGTCTAATGCAATTAGATTTGAGTTGAGGGACCAGGGAAAAAATCACTCAGGTACAAAGCACCTGCTCCAGGAACTGTTTCATAAACCCAGCTGCTGAAACCATCTGCTATAACAGTAAGTCCAGTTTTACCCAGTAGCTGCCAAAATGACATGTTCTGACCCTAAGACTAGTTTTACCTACCATTGTCACCCACCAATCAGAGGTTGCCAGTTCCTGAAAAACTACACTGAAGCCAATGAACTTTCTTTCAAAATGACTCTATGTAACATGTTTTTCCCAATAAAACCCCAACCACCAAATTCTTTATTCTTCGGGCATCCCAGTTTGTGCCTATCCCTCAAATTGCAATTCTATTTTTGTATATATTTTCAAATGAAAACATTTGCTCAGAGTTTTGTCTCTACAGTTTATTTGATTTTGACATATTTATTGTCATAAGTGGAGTCTGAATTGAACTTGCCTGGAGAGATTCTATGGCCCCCAGAACCATGGCGTGAGGTACCAATACATGGACCCCTTGAGCCCCACTTTGGTGTGTACCCTTTTTGCCTGGTGAGTCTCTACCTCGGATCCAAACCCCATGTCCTGCTGTCTGAGTTGTACAGTTTTATTTGAAATTAGATTTTCTGAGGGTTTTTTCCACTCCTGTTTATGAAGGACTTCCCTTCTTTTAAAGAAGTCTTTGTCCCTCTTCCTGGTGAATACATACTTCATTCTTTTATTCATTTTGTGTTCTTGGTTTTTATTTTGGCTTCTGTGTATTTTGTGTTAAATCAAATTGCCTAGATAAATTTATTCAGAAAATGGGCCCTTGATGTTTGAAGGCAAGCCAAGATACACACCTGTACCCCCCCATCAGGGACTCCAGCTGGTTTTATGCTTAAGCATTATGGCACATCAGCACGTGCTTTCTTATTGCAATGGGCTGATTATACTAAAGACAACTGGGAATTGCAATGACATTCCTGATTTTTTTTTTGACTTCCCTAAACTTGTTTTTCTCAGAAATACCTGAGAAGTTTAGTCTATAAAACCAAACATTCCGAATTGAATGTATACCTTAATTGGTATCTGGAGGTGTCCATATAATATATTCAAGATTCAAAATTTGCCTTGCCCCAAAATACTTTCTCTAAGTTAACTGGAATAAATGAAGGATGGAGAAAGAAAGGCTTTAGGAACTCAAATTCTTTCTGTTTATTAGGTGCCACCTACTGTCTCTCCTCTCTTCACCTTCTGAACTTCCCTTGTTCTCTGATATTTCTTGCCCTATTTCTTCTCCCCTTTCTGCTTCCCAACCTCAACCTACAAACCCTGTCCCCATAAGGATTAACTTCTACTGATTCTGAGATTCTTCAGATGTCCTATGTCTTTTGGAGTAAAACAGAACTCTGTGCTATAGCCAAAGAATTTCCCAAGGTTATGGAGGACTCTCGTTATGTTACCAATAAATTTAACATTACAGTTCAGGCTTACCAGCCCAAATTCTCTTGTCTTTATCAACTTATTTGCATGCTGTGGGAGAAGGCCAGGCCCAACACTGAATAGCAAAAGCCAATTGGACCCATCCCCAACTGGATTTAGCAATATCTGTGCCCAGTCCCGGAATCAGACCTACAATATTAGAAACTGGCTCAACAACTTTCAATTTATAGAGTGCCATCCTCAATCCATTTTATAAAGCCTTAGATTGGAAAATTTAAGCTTATACCCAAGAGCTAAATGAACCAATTCATAACTATTATAAGAGACTCCTGGTTATATTCAGAGAAAACGTTGGCCTACCTATGGATGTTGACTATACTAGACTTACCTTTTACTCTATGTTTGCCAAGGATCTCAACCAAGAACTTTCTCTGTGAGTTAAAAAAAAAAAAGTTCACATGGAGGGGGAGACCACACCACCTGCTGAATTTGTTAATTTGGCAAATCAGTTGGCTTGCACCATAAAGAATACTAATAAAAAGAAGACTACTAAAATCCTAAACCTCCAATTGCAACATGAATGCTCCCAGAGAAAACAATTTGGTCTCTAAATGACACACCTTTAATCCACAAAAGCCACCTCTTGGCATCTGTCATTATTGTAAATAGCCAAGGCTAATGGAAGAAAAACTGTTAACGTAAGCAATCAGTTTTAAGTTTATAAACAGTCTTCTTCACTTAAGCCTTCTGCTTCTCCTTCCCTATGGAGGGGCTTTGAGAACATACAGGAGCTTTCTCCAATTCTTCCACTTAATCACCTTGGGGAGACCACTCTAAATTGGCAATGAGGTCCTGACTGTTTATATAGATACAGGAGCAACCCTATTGGTGTTCAACTCCACTAACCTCAACCAGCTCCTGCCTTGGAGTAATGAAAATATTTAAATGGGGGAGTTTTAGATGAACCATTGATGGCTTTTCTGTCCCAGCCTATTACTTTTCACCTTAAGCCATTACAGGATACCTATCTCTTCTTACTGGCGGAATCTACTCCAGCTCATTTTGGAAAAATATCACGCTGGCATCTCTTTCTCCCAAAAAGAAAAAATAATTGATAAGAACAATCCACTGGACTCTACTTTTGATGCCCTGCTTATATGTTACATTGTCCCAACACCAAAGATATTCCTGCTGGCTCCCAGAATTTTTTATCGAAACAGGTACCTGTCTTTTCACGGGCCACGTCATCAACACAGAGCCATAGTGCACCCTGGTTAAAATCCAAATTGATTGAACAAAGCCCTTGCTTCATACAAAACAAAATCCTTTGGGCCAATGTACCTTACAAGGAGTAGGACCCATCATTGAAGAACACAAAACTCAAGGCTTAAAAATTCCTTGCACCAGTCTCTGTTACACTCCCATTCTCCCAGTGAGAAAATCTAATGTTTACAGGTATAGATTTGTTCAGGGTTTCCGTTATTTATAATTTATTTGTTTGTTATTTGTAATTTATAATATTATTTATAAATGATAAATAATATTGTTATATCATGCTATACCATAGTCCCAAATCCACATAATTTGTTGACCTCAATACCAACTTATAGTAAATTGTCCACTGAAATTTACCTCTGTGGTGCTTTCCTTAGCATCCCTTTTGATCAAACCAGTCAATATCCATTTGCCTTCATTTGGGAAGGACAACAATATACTTGGACTATTACGCCTCAATACTAAACTGAAAGTCTTTCCAATCTTTCTCAAATTCTGAAAGTTAATTTAGAATATGTAACTTTCCCCTAAGGCTCATCCTTACTATAGTATGCAGATAACTTCTTTGCTCTCCCATACAGGTATCCTGTGAGGAAGACAGTGTGCGTTTATGAAAACTTCTAGCCATAAAAGATTATAGTTTTCTAAAGAAAAGTTACTATTAGTTAAAACCCAAGTTAAACATCTGGGTTATCTGATTTTTCAAACAGGGCTACATTTAAACCCTGAACAGATCCAAGGTGTCCCGCAGTTCCATAAACCCCAAACTAAATGGCAACTTTGAGGGTTTCTTGGACTTGCTAATCCCTGCCATAACTGAATATCAAATTTTTTTGATTACTAAAACCCTGCATGTCCTACTCAAGGCTTCTAAGCCTGATCCCATTGTAGGGAAAAAATCTAAAGACATTGCATTTATTAGATTAAAGAGGGATTTTTAAATCCCTCTGCCCTGGGGGTCTCTAATTATCAACTCCCTTTTTTTCTTTTTGTTTATGAAAAGAAAGAAAATGCCTTGAGTGTCCTAACTGAAAAACATGGAGATCAACACTGTCCCACTGGATATTACAGCCAACAAGTAGACTCAGTAGCTCAAGAATTACCTCCTCATTTGAGAACTATTGTAACTACTGCTCTACTAGTCACTTCACTGAAGAAATGGTCATGGAATATCCTTCAACCATTTTTTATTTTCCATGCTGTTAAATTCTTCTACATTCACATCATACTTAACACCTATTTGCCAGTAATTTTACCTCTTATAAACTTTTTTTTTTGGCTAGCTGCTCCTTACATAACTCATTTTCAATAGAACAATGTTAATTCTTCTACTTTTTTTTACCCCTCCTTCTGGTGTGGACCCATCCCTATTACTTTTTGCCTCTGACTATCTTTTAACTCAGCATAAAGATTTATAAGAGGCTTTATTAGACAATGCTGAACTATCATGATTTACAGATGGAGCATATTTAAAGGATGACATTGGTAAATAAGGTGAAGAATATACAATTGCTACTTAGTTTAAAGATATCGAGGTTGCACCCTTAGCTATTGTTACTTCTACCCACAAAGCTGAACTTTATGCCCTTACTCAGGCTTGCCTCCTTACTAAAGGGAAATCTGCTAATACGAATTCACAGACTGTAGTTATGCTTTCTTGGTTGCTCATGATTTCAGGATTTTATGGAAGCAAAGGTGCTATCTTACTTTCATTGGAGGTCAAATAAAAAATAGATCCTATGTATAAGACTTATTGGATGCCACATAGGTACCAGCTGTTTTGACTATTGTCAAAATTCTTGGACATTTAAGATTGGACTCAGTGGGGGTTAGAAGATTCTATGGAGGCTAGAGAAAACTACTTTGCCTATAATGCTGCTAGTAATGCTGCTCTTAAAGTTTCAATTGATCAAATCTTTGTCATGGCCTCACAAAAAGAACATTAAGATGGTTCAAAGATGCACAAAATTGAGTACCAGAAACTAGAAAATAATTGGGAGAATCATGGCAGCTAGTTTTGTGATTAAAAAAGAACTCTGATTTGGACATGAAAATAAACCAATTTTCCCAGATTCATCGAGCTATCTACTGTTAACTATAATTCATAATTTGACTCATAGACAACTAACACATTTATTTCTTTTATGAAATGATATTGGTGGGGTGACATTAAAAAGTCTGCCAGAAGTGCTTATTTGGCTTGTACTAGTGGTACTAAGTTTAGTCCAAGAAATACTACACACACCATTCCTGGACATTTTAATTTACCTAATGGGTCATTTGAGATTTGGCAAATGGACTTTTTCCAGCTACGCGTCTCCTTTGGATACATACATATTAGTATAATCTCTATGTTTTTCAATTGGGTGGAAGCCTTTTCTTGTAGACAAGCCATTGCTTCAGCCATGGCCAAAATTCTTCTAGAGAAAATTATTCCCATGTAGGGGACTCCCTTTTTCTTTATAGTAACTAGGGAATCCACTTTATTGGTCATGTAATATTGTAGATTATATAGTTTCACTCTGTGTCTCCACTCAGATCTCATCTCAGATTGTAATCTGAGGGAGGGACGTGGTGGGAGGTGTTTGGATCATGTGGACGGTTTCTCCCATGCTGCCCTTTGATAGTGAGTGAGCTCTCATGAGATCTGATGGTTTTAAAGTGTGGTACTTACCCCCTTGTTCTTTCTCTCTCCTTCCACCTTGTGAAGAAGGCTGATTTTGTTTGTTTGTTTTCTTTTGTTTTTTTGAGACAGAGTCTCGATCTGTCACCCAGGCTGGAGTGCAGTGGTGCAATCTAGGCTCACTGCAAGCTCCGCCTCCCAGGTTCACGTCATTCTCCTGCCTTAGCCTCCCAAATAGCTGGGACTACAGGTGCCCACCACCACATCCGGCTATTTTTTTGTGTGTTTTTAGCAGAGATGGGGTTTCACCATGTTAGCCAGGATGGTCTTGATCTTCTGACCTCATGATCCACCCACCTCAGCCTCTCAAAGTGCTGGGATTACAGGCATGAGCCACTGTGCCTGGCCTGTATTTTGTGTGTGTGTGTGTGTGTGTGTGTGTGTGTGTGTGTGTTTGTGTGTGTGTGTGCCTGCTTTAGATGCCTGCTTCCCATTCATCTTCCACCATGCTTGTAAGTTTCCTGAGATCTCCCCAGCAATGCAGAACTATGAGTAAATTAAACCTCTTTTCTTTATAAATTACCCAGTCTCAGGCAATTCTTTATAGCAGTGTGAAAATGGACTAATACAGTAGGTATGTTAAATTTGACCAATTTTACAGCATTTCCAGTGTGCCTACTATCCCCAAGCTTCTGATTTTATAAAATAAATAAGTGGAACTATAAAAACCTAGTTGGTGGCCAGGCACGGTGGCTCACGCCTGTAATCCCAACACTTAGGGAGGTCGAGGCAGGTGGATTGCCTGAGGTCAGGAATTTGAGACCAGCCTGGCCAACATGGTGAAACCCCATCTCTACTTAAAAAAAAAAATACAAAAATTAGCCGGGTATGGTGGTGGGCACCTGTAATCCCAACTACTCAGGAGGCTGAGTCAGAGAATTTCTTGAACCTGGGAGGCAGAGGTTGCAGTGACCCTAGATCGTGACATTGCACTCCAGCCTGGGTGACAGAGTGAGACTCCAAAAACAAACAAACAAACAAACAAACAAAAAACCCAGTTGGCAAAATATATGAAAACCTTAACCTTTCCTGATCTAAGATTCTTCTTTTGATATTAAATTGGAGAGTCATTCCCTTTAAGGCTCGCAAACATTCACATTTTGAAATAATCACAGGAACTTGTCTCTCTCTACTTTTGACCATCAGTTAATAAAAGGAGATATACTTCTATATTGCAAAAGCATTATTAGACAATGGATAAAAATTGTACTTTGGCAGAACAATCTTTTCTTGGTGCACTCAGGAGATAAAGACCTAGAGCACCACGATGTGCAACCTGGTGACTTTGTCTACTGGAAAGATATCTACATAAAGATTCTCACCAGCCTTATTAGAAGAGTCCATATCAAGCCCTTTTCACCAATCCCTTTGCTGCAAAGCTCAAAGGCACTGACTTGTGGATCTACATATCTTATTTTTAAAAGTCCCCCACTCCTGACTGGACCAATACTCCAACAAGGGTTTTAAAACTAAAGTTCTTCCAGAATTGAAGCAGATGACATCTGAAGTAGACTTCCCTCCCAACATGTCCAGACCAGGATATATACTCTTTTTTATATAAAAAAAAAATTGGTCTCTTCTTATATGCCTTTATTTTCCTGGAAAGACAATGCTATAATTCACATTTTCCAATCTATTGCCAAAGGGAGACACACAACTGGCTATTGGATTTGTCACCACAACTTCCCATCTGTTCATTATGCAAGTTAATCTTTATTTTACCCCATAACATATTTTACTAATGTTTCCAATGAACTGTTCAAATTGTGTATCTGGTTCTTTTCATAAGATCAAGTTTTGAGATTTACATATGCAGATTTCACGCTTTACCCTAACAGTATCTAAGGTCTACACAAAAGACTTTAAAATTAGATTAATATTATATAAAGAAAAATATGGTAAGAGTACTCAAGATAAAAGAAATTCAACAGATTGCAAAACTATTCCTTCCCCTGGTCTTCTAATTTTTGATGGCCTCCAGCAATGCAATAGTTCAGTAATGTAATCTTGGCAAAATGGTGCTGACACCTCCTTATGAGTAATTGTTAATACACAAGGTAGTCCCTATGGAATTACCTCTTGTGTTCCATTGGAATACATTTTCATCTGTGGGGGATTCAAAAGTCAACTACCTGTTTGGGCAACATTACATCTTAAGAAATGGAAAATTAAAAGACCAATGTGGTTTGAAATACTTCTGTATTAAATTTAAATCAGCAAAATTTAAACATTATTGGTTCCTACCTCTTAGGTTACATCGTGATATTTAAAAGAGACACTTTGTCAGGAGGCATAAATCTAGCAGATGGGCCTCAGTTGTTAAATCTTTTTTCCCTAGCATCAGAATTAGCCACTTAGGAACAATCATCAGAAATTTATCCTTAACAATTTGGTCCATAGTCAACTCCACAGCTAAAGCTATTGCAGCTGAAAAATACTTCCTTAGATTATTTTGCTAAAGTGGCATTTGATAGCAGGATTGCTCTGGATTATTTATTAGCTAAACAAGGTAGTATTTGTGCAGTTGCTAACACTGTTTGCTGCACATGGATAAATTCCTCTGGAGAAGTAAAGCGGCAATTACACAAGATAAGCAAGCAAGCCACTTGGCTCCAAAAAGTTTCAGCAGATACATCTGGACTTTTTGATCTGTTCAGTTGATTACCTTCAAAATTGGGTTCATGGTTGAGAACAATTATTTAAAGTGGAATTTATGATATTATTCCTGATCATTCTTTGCATTGAGATCTTTAAGCTCCATTTTTCTTGCCTGTCTAATCTTTGTAAAACCAGTCCTCACAAAAGAATAATGTTAGCAGAATACTTCAAGATGATTGCTAATGTATATGGGACTGGTAAGCTGGAAGTCTCTGCTGGACTCCAGGCAAGCCTGCCCTGAGAGGTTTTCTTTCTGGCCACAAATGTGGCCTGGGTTTCTAACACTGATTCCCATACTTTGCTCTCAATTTGGGACCAGACACAATTAGGATATCCCAGCATTAAGAGACAATTAAACCTAACTTCAGGATGGTTGATCAGTGATATTTTCATAGAAAGATCTTGAACAAAAGGGGAAAATGTGAAAATTGACTTTACAAATTGGAGTTATTTTTTTCAGACCCAACTAAATTATAGTTGAGGGACCAGGGAGAAGAAGCACTAAGGTCACAAAACACCTGCTCCAGAGATTATCTCACAAGCTTATCTGCCAAAACGACCTGCTGTAACCTTAAGACCAGTTTTACATAGTAGCTGCCAAAGCAACCTTCTGTGATTCTAAAACTAGTTTACCTACCACTGCTACTCACCAATCAGTTTGCCAACAACCCAAAAAAACTTTACTAGTGCTAATGAGCTTTTAAAACAATTTGCATAACATTTCTCTTCTCCAGTAAAGCCCCAAATTTTCCTTTTTTCTTTGGAACACCAAAGACTACCCTAGTCAGTGTTTATAAGCTAAATTGCAATCCTGTTTTTATATGTGTTTTCAAATAAAACCTTTTGCTTAGAGATTCATCTCTAAATTTTACTTGTACAGTGTCAAACTAATTTTAAGAAAACTGATGGTTGTGTAGGTGTTTTGGACACTCTACAGAATGCTGTGTCTCTTGCCCTTGCTGGTAAATTAGTGCTAGTCTTCTCTGCAGACCTGTGATGTTAGCGTAAATTTATCTCTTGGCAATAATATGGTCTTCTGAATGTGAGAAAATGAATACTGCCATATTGCCTAATACCAAATTTTTTGCTGCACAAAAGTTTTCAGCTTTCTTAACTTTATCAAACACCATGAGAATGAACTGCCAAAGGAAAAATAGTAAACTGTAGGTTTTGCTTTCACACTTTTAAGAGTTCCACAATTCATCACATTCGTTTTCCAAATCTTCAAGGAAACTATATTTTCTAGGAAGATGCTGCATGTTTAACATGTGAATTTGATATACTTACCAATGTGCTAGATGCACAGAGCTAAACCTTTTATTACAAAAACAGCTACAGAATTTAGTAAGTAGGTGTAGGTTTTATTGGTCCTTATAGCTAGCTATAGTTCTGTTTTCAGCTCTCTTTATTCCTTTGAGTCTTTAATATAAATAATTAGACCCATGGCAGAAAACCAACATTTTTTATGGCATATCTTCAGAGAGTCAAGGTATGAATGTTGGAATAAGAAGAATTAGAAGATATGTTGGGGGGACTATTATTGCTTATTAATTGACCATGGGTATACATCATTCTTTTTTCTTTTTTTTCTTTTTTTTTCTTTTTTTAAATTATTATTATACTTTAAGTTTTAGGGTACATGTGCACAATGTGCAGGTTAGTTACATATGTATACATGTGCCATGCTGGTGTGCTGCACCCATTAACTCGTCATTTAGCATTAGGTATATCTCCTAATGCTATCCCTCCCCCCTCCCCCCACCCCACAACAGAACCCCACCCCAGAGTGTGATGTTCCCCTTCCTGTGTCCATGTGTTCTCATTGTTCAATTCCCACCTATGAGTGAGAATATGCAGTGTTTGGTTTTTTTGTTCTTGCGATAGTTTACTGAGAATGATGATTTCCAATTTCATCCATGTCCCTACAAAGGACATGAACTCATCATTTTTTATGGCTGCATAGTATTCCATGGTGTATATGTGCCACATTTTCTTAATCCAGTCTATCATTGTTGGACATTTGGCTTGGTTCCAAGTCTTTGCTATTGTGAATAGTGCCGCAATAAACATACATGTGCATGTGTCTTTATAGCAGCATGATTTATAGTCCTTTGGGCATATGCCCAGTAATGGGATGGCTGGGTCAAATGGTATTTCTAATTCTAGATCCCTGAGGAATCGCCACACTGACTTCAACAATGATTGAACTAGTTTATAGTCCCACCAACAGTGTAAAAGTGTTCGTATTTCTCCACATCCTCTCCAGCACTTGTTTCCTGACTTTTTAATGATTGCCATTCTAACTGGTGTGAGATGGTATCTCATTGTGGTTTTGATTTGTATTTCTCTGATGGCCAGTGATGGTGAGCATTTTTTCATGCGTTTTTTGGCTGCATAAATGTCTTCTTTTGAGAAGTGTCTGTTCATGTCCTTTGCCCACTTTTTGATGGGGTTGTTTGTTTTTTTCTTGTAAATTTGTTTGAGTTCATTGTAGATTCTGGATATTAGCCCTTTGTCAGATGAGTAAGTTGCAAAAATTTTCTCCCATTTTGTGGGTTGCCTGTTCACTCCAATGGTAGTTTCTTTTGCTGTGCTCTTTAGTTTAATTAGATCCCATTTGTCAATTTTGGCTTTTGTTGCCATTGCTTTTGGTGTTTTAGTCATGAAGTCCTTGCCCATGCCTATGTCTTGAATGGTATTGCCTAGGTTTTCTTCTAGGGTTTTTATGGTTTTAGGTCTAACATTTAAATCTTTAATCCATCTTGAATTAATTTTTGTATAAGGTGTAAGGAAGGGATCCAGTTTCAGCTTTCTACATGTGGCTAGCCAGTTTTCCCAGCACCATTTATTAAATAGGGAATCCTTTCCCCATTGCTTGTTTTTCTCAGGTTTGTCAAAGATCAGATATTTGTAGATATGTGGCATTATTTCTGAGGGCTCTGTTCTGTTCCATTGATCTATATCTCTGTTTTGGTACCAGTACCATGCTGTTTTGGTTACTGTAGCCTTGTAGTATAGTTTGAAGTCAGGTAGCGTGATGCCTCCAGCTTTGTTCTTTTGGCTTAGGATTGACTTGGCAATGCGGGCTCTTTTTTGGTTCCATATGAACTTTAAAGTATTTTTTCCAGTTCTGTGAAGAAAGTCATTGGTAGCTTGATGGGGATGGCATTGAATTTATAAATTACCTTGGGCAGTATGGCCATTTTCACGATATTGATTCTTCCTACCCAGGAGCATGGGTATGTCATTCTTTTGAATTATCATACTCAGGGAAAAAGAAAGGTAGAATACTTGGAAGTAAAGATGATAAGATTTCTAAATTCCTCACATTTCTTTGACCAGAACCATAAGATTAGTATGCATACTTAACGAAAATAAATGTTTTGTTTTTTACTCAGCTTCAATTTTTCTATTTACATTTTTCAGTTTTTGAGAATAGGGATGATTCTTTATTCGTTGTTGTATTTCTAGCCTGTAGAATGTACTAACAAACATTTCTTAAAAGAATTTTTTTAATTTTAGCTATACAATGTATCATTGCTTTTATAATTTTCAAGTCAGAATCCCCTTATTTGTTAAGTTATTGGTTGCAATCAGCAGTAATTGCAGGAAACTTTAAGTGGGTTAATAAAATTTCTTACAAATTTGCCAATTTGCATTCTCTAATGTTAAAATCTAAATTTATGTATTTTTTTAAGTTTTTGATTCCAAATATGAAAGTTAAGCTCCGCAAAAGCCAATTTTAGAATTTTAAAAATTTGGATACAAATGTAATATGCTAGTTACTGATCTATCAAAAATTAGATGCACAAACACAAGCTGACACACAAAAACATAGGACTTAGGTATTCACAGAGATATAAAATTGAAAATGTTTCAAATATATTTAACATGTTTTTTAACCCTAAATTTCTACCCTCAATATAATAACTTTATATCACCACAAATAGTCCAAACCCACAACCTTAAATGATTTTAAAGTGGTGTTGTGGGGCAGTGTTCAAGAATTGTGAATTACCTGAAATGTATTGACATTAAAACAGGTTAGCCTGCTACTGTTTCATGGAGGTCCCAGAAAACAAGAAACTACTGGATCAGAGAAAAAGAACGCTTTTACTCATGGCAAAGCAGGAAGCAGGAACTGTATGTTTACATCAGTTCCCTTTGCCAGGCCCCCAAGTCCCATGGGGCAATGTAGAGGAGGGCCCAGTTATGCATACACAGTGGGGCTGTGTCACAGCTAAGGAACTCTAAGCCAAGGCAGCCCTAAGCTGTTAGACATGGCTGCTAGCAAACTTTTCCAACCTTTGCACTGCAGTAAGACATTATCTTTATTTAAAAATCTGCACTCTGCCCAAGACACGGGCACTGCATCTTCTGAGTGTCTTTGTTGTACAAACATCCTTTAAAAGGAAGTCTGGAACAGAACACATGCAGGATGTTAGCACCCCATGGAGATTTAGCTTCCAATGAGGAGTTAGAAATATACATCTAGGATTTTATTATTATTATTTTAACCAAAAACATCCCCTACATGTTGGATCAAACAAGAAAGCTAGACCTTTAAATTGACTCCTACATCATTTTCTCCTTATTCATCTATTCATCAGTTCTGTTTATTCTATCAAATATCTTTCAGTCTCATTCACTTTTCTCTATATTCATTGTTTTTGCCTTTGTCTAGTTCATCATGATCAGTAACTTTACTTTTTACAAGAGCCTCTTCACAGGTTTGCCAGTTTAGCACTAATGCTGCCAGGACAATCGTTCTGAAATGCAAATCTGATATGGTCCCTATCAGAAATTAGTTGTCCTTGCCTTCTGGAAACAATCAACATTTCTTTAAATGTCTTACAATGTACTGAGCTTATTTTTCTTTTCAGTGTCTTCCCCTAACACCCACCTCTTATGCTCTTACGTTGCAGCCACATTAAAGTTCCAGAATTGTGGATATTCCATTCCTTCTTCTTGAGATATACTACCCTAGACCCTCATTTTATTTCCAAGGCTTAACTAATACCTACTGATTCTTAAGGATCCAACTTAGATATCATTTTCTTCAAAAAACCTGTTTGACTCATCCCAGTCCAGGTTATGCAACTTCATACTCCCTCTTTTACATATCTTGTTATACCTTAATAAAATTTTTGGTTAACCTGTTTGTATCTCCCACCAGGCAATAATTTCTATGATAATAAGTACCCAGAACCCACAAGGACTGTCATATGTTCATCATTTATAAGTACTAATTGAATATATAAATGAATTAATGAATATGTAATGAGATGCTTGCTTTGTTGGAAGATATTAGAAATAGAAATGCACTCCCAAAATGATGGGAATCAATTGGAATCAACTCTGTTGTTGGACATTAATTTTTTTCTTTTGTGGTTTTCTATATGACATTGCTTTGACCTTACTGGTATATATGAGTATGTCACTTTACAAAGAGGATTTTAAATGTCAGCCAACTCTGACTTCTTAGAATTATGTTATCTGAAAAAAAAACAGTAGGAAAATACGACAGGTGGATATGTGTTGGGGATTAAAGTACACTGGGGACTGAAATGAACCTACCAATCTCATTAGCTGTCTTCTGACCTGCTGAATTCTACCTAGGTCCCCTAGGTGAAAGGCTAATAATTAACTCAATTTGCTATCTGTGCTGGGGAAAGCTCCAAAGGTTAAGATTATGAAGGACTGATGAGGGCAATCTTTTATACTGTTTAAATTGCTGTTTAAATTTGAATTAGATTCTAATGGTGACAGTTTGAAACTGACACAGTTTAATTCATTGACCACATTTGAAAACCTGCCTACCTGAACTAGCTTTAAAGTATGTCTTAAATAAGCAGTCAGCCAGTGCACTTACATGTCCATTTTTACTATTTACTTGAAATTGGAATATGAACAGCAGTTGCTACTCGTGTCAACTTTTGTGTTCACTTTCTATTGTTTTACTTTCTCTACTGTGGGTTCCCTCACCTGCCATGATATGCAGTCTTTTATAAATAGTGTAATTCATACTCCCCAGGACACAGCATTCGGGGGTGAAGGGAAATTAGGTAATAATAATAACAATAACATTTATATAGTGTTAGGATTTGCCTGCTTTTTTATGTACATCTTGATAGATGATAGATAGATAGATAGATAGATAGATAGATAGATAGATAGATAGATACATAGATACACAGGAGTCAACTGTATATGTTTATTTAATCCTTCCAACAATTCTTCCAGGTAGCTATTATTATCTCACATTTTAAAGATGAGTCAACTGAAGCCCAAGAACAATATTTTCCAACGTTATATAGTTAATGAATGATAAAACTGCCTTTCTAAATTAGTAACAGAAATATTTGCCTAAATTCACCCATATTGGCTCCATTGAAACTCTAGCACCCCGCAAATTCCTCTCATTCTGTAAATTCTGAATGAATTTGGTGTTTTGCCCACAGGCTTGTGCTTGGTTACTGTTTGGCAGCTGCCATTCCTCTTCTTACCTACTCTGCTCTCTGGTGTTGCCTGTTGCTCAGCCACCCCTGTTCCCTGAAAGCAGGAGGTATGCAGGTGCCTGCCCGCTTCCTCATATCAGCTTCCACCAGTGCCTGCCAAACACTGCCCTGAGCCTGTCATAGGCATCAGCACTAGGCCAAGGGCTGCATGCAACGAGATTGTCTGCTGCCGCCAGAAGGTACTCATATTGATGGCGCTGTTGCTTTTCACCTCAGTTCTTCAGGTTTTCACTCAAGATTATTTTACAGGTCATGATATTTGGGTTTAGCAAGAGTATCAAAAAGTAGGAATTAAGTATGTAAAAGATAAAATGATCTATTTAGTATTAGCACCCCATTTATTTTACTAATGCTCAATTCTCTTCTTGGGATTAGTTTAATTTCATAAATGTTGTCCGCACAAAAACTTAAGACCCAAAGGGGTAGTTCCTTAACCAATGTTACAAATGTGCAGAATTGGAACATACTTAGGTTTAAGTGCAGGCACTTGCAACAGAAGTTGCTTATTATTTTCATGATTAATGCTATTATCTTTCAGGCATTCTGAAAAAAAAAGAAAGACTAGAAGGTTAGACCACCTCATTTAATTGAGAATGTTAAATTTCTGGATGCCAGATCACCAGGCAGAATTTCTGCTTTAGGAGGAGTAGGGCTGTTGCACCTGTGACCAGGAGCAGTCTTTCTCTACTGTGGAAGTTAAGAGCCCTCTTTCTTTACTGTAGCCAATGCTGCTTCTTTTCTGGCAAAATAAGGATGGAGAAGAAGAATCAATTTTTTTTTCCTCTTTGGGCCACAGACTAAATCAATGTAAATTCTCTGTGCTTCAAGTGGGCCTATATACTTACGAAAGGCAGGTGCTAGCTAGGAGAGGTGTTTATATTAGCAATACAAATATGTAATAAAATTAATATATATATGGGGCTTTAGGGCAAGATTGGTGGGAGGATTGAAGAACTAATAGACATATCTGATCACAATTATTGAACAATTTATGAATTCAACATGGTTTTAAGGGATGAAGGAATTGGAACGTAGACCATTCTGTGTCTGCAGTAAAGTAAAACTACAGAGTGTACAAAAGGGTAATATCTAATATAGATATCAAAAAGATAGTGTAAATAACAGAACCTAAGAGACTGCTTTGAATAAACGGGGGATGGGCAGAGGAAAGTAGAAGGAGAATAACTTTTCCCACTGTTACAAAGTAGCTGCCATTAGTACTGATGACAACTTTGGATATAATCCTTTTTTTGAATTTTTTTTCCTGTTTGAATTCTAAAGCCTGTTAAAAACTAACCTTAACAACAAAGAGGAAGAACATTTTCAATAGTCTTTTATTTGATGTAAATTGGTTATGGAGTTTATAATCTGTAAAAGGTTAATTTATATTTTATTAATAACGTGCAGCTGGTCCTTGAATAATGTCATTTTCTTCGATATCGTTTCATTATAACATTGATGAGAAAAAACAATTGATTCCTAGCAGAGCATTGTCTGTGTTAAGTTTGATTGTTCCATTCCTGTCTGCCTAGGTTTTCTCTGGGAACTCCTGTTTCCTTCCACATTCCAGAGATGTGCATGTTAGGTGAACTGGTGCGTCCAAGTGTGGGTATGTGTGTGAGTGTGCTCTGCAATGGGATGGCTTCCCATCTAGAGCTGGTTCCCAGCTTGTACCCTCAGCTGCAGTGATGGCCTCTGGTTACCTGTGGCCCTGAACTGGAAAAATTAGGTAATTATCTTATTTTGTAAAATTAACCTTGCTTAAATGTAGGTATAGCTCACATTTATTTCAACATTCAATATTAGAAGCGTTCTAGTCTTTATTGATAAGTTTGGTGATGTTTTCGTGACAAGAAATATGCTGTAGGAACTAAACTCTCGTTTATATCAATTAGTCTATACCAGTAAACTAGTAAAAGTGGTTTCCTTACATTCTGTTTCATTTAAAGTCACAGCTTACAAGAACCTATTGACAATGTTAAGTGAGGAGTTACTGTAAGTTTTGACTTAAAAAAATAGCTTTTTTTCTAGACTGGGACATTTATTCATCACTTATTGAACAAATTTTTACTGAGCAATTACTTTGTGCCAAGCATGGTTTTAGACTGAGATAGAGTGGTGATTAGAACAAATACATTCTCAGCTTTCTAGGGCTTACAAAAGGTTATAAATATATAGAACATATTTACACAAAATAAATAAATATATTAATAACTGGTATAATAAGGGCTATGAATAATAACCAGGATGAAGAGGAGAGTGGTGTGTGTGTGTGTGTGTATTTTATATAAAATTATCACGGAAGGCAACATTTGTGCAGAATCTTGAAGGAGGTGAGAGATTTAGTATGTGGCTCTCTCTGAAGAGTAGTCTAGGCATAGGAAAGAAGTGTAAACATTTCTGGATGAGAGCATGCTTGCTACGCTTGAGGACAGCAAGGAGGCCGGTGTGCAGGAACATCATGAATAAAGAGGACGTGAACAGTAAAGTGATGAGCTCAAACTGGTGGCAGCTGATTCTTTGTGAAAGTTTCGATTTCATTTTTTTATTTTGTAGTCAATTTGCAAATGAATATCCCCAGTAGACTACCATTCGGACAAAACTACAGAATATGAACAGAAGCCTTGAAGCCTCCCTCATGTCCTCTTCTAAATAACATCTCCCACTCCAAACTCACCATTATTCTGACTTCTATCACCTTGATTAGCATTCCCTGTTGTCTAACTTTATATAAATGAAATCATACTGTATTCTTTTGAGATTAGCTTATTAAAAATAACATTTCTCTGATTCATCCATATTGTTGTGTATAGCCCCAATTCATTCTTTTTCATTGCTATATAAAGTGTTCCCTTCTACACATGTAATTTATTTATCCATTCTTCTGTTGATGGACATTTGGATTATTTACAGTTTCAGCATATTGCAAATATTCTGCTATTGTTAAGTATTTTTGTAAATATCTTTTTGCACACATGCACTTATTTCTCCTGGGTAGACACCTATGAATGCAATTGCTAGATTTAATGCACATCCTTTTAACTTTAGTGAAAAATAAACACTTTTCCAAGTGGTTAAACTGATTTATGTTCACATACATAGTGTTGGAGAACTGCAGGTGGTCCACATCCTTGTCATTACTATAATTGTCAGTTTTTTGTTTTAAAGTGTGTATTCACTGGTATTTGATTGTGGCTTGTAATTTTATGTCTTCTTTGACTCATTGCCTGAGCCAAGCAGAAAATGCCTGAAGGGAAATACCAGAAAAAATTAGTAAGGGCTTTCTTTAGCATACTTTCCTTTTTGTTCAGATATTATCTTTTGTCTTCTGACTGGCTTGATTGCTCTTCTGTGCCTTTAAAATATTGTTCTGTATTTTCTCAATTTTTTCTAATTGTTTTTGTTGGAATGGTTAGGGTACTACGGTCTCCTTCATTATGACTTATAGTAGAGGTTGGAGGGTTTTGAACAGAGGCCTTATAGTAATTTTACTACATATTTAAAACTATAACTGGATGTTAAAACAAGATTTCTTGATTTTAAGTGAAGTGGTGATATAATTTACATTAGACTAGCAAAGTATTAATATATGGGAAATGGACACTTCATGCAAGTTTTGTGGAATTTCCATAGGAAGAAGAAAAGCCTATTTTATAATTTGTAAACCTCTGGTTATAAAAAGGAAAGAAAGAATAAAGGCCACAAAAGAGGATATTGGTGAAATGACCTATTTGGAGGCAGATACATTTTTATGTGGAATCTCCTTGGTGGATGTCTAATGGAGTGCTACCCTATATCTAGAAGGCTAGCGAGTAGGGCTTCAGAAAGGGACCCTTGGGAGATCTTTCAAGTATTTCCCGTGCATCTGACAGACAGAGAAATAATGGAATTATGTCTGAGAAAGCTAACACAGAATGTAAATTGGGGAGTGACTCTGCAAATCTAGAGGATCAGAGATGGTATGTTTTAAAGTGGACCCATGAGAGCGATTGAGTTGTGCTGTAGCCCCAGAATTTATTAGGGTAAGCTTATATGGGTAACACTTATCCAGAGTGGCTCAGTTAAGAGTTTATCAGGTAAGTTTTTCAGGTTGCTGAGTGCTTTACTGGGACCAGATAGGGACCCTGTGGGAACGAAAGACAATATGGAGTAATCCTGAATCTTATCCAATAATACTGAGTGGAGATACAAGGGACAAACCAGAAGAATGAGGTTGGAGCCCTATTATTGGATACTAGTAGCTGAGATAGGTCATGGAAAACTACCAGGAATACTGGTAAATCCTGTGGAGGACTGCAGAAAGGAGCCTGATGCAGGACCCCTTTGTAGTGTTTCTGATAGAATCAGTTTTGATTATCTTCCAAGACAAGTAGGCAGGAAGCCCAGAGGCCAAGTAAGAAGTTCCCTCTCCTCTGCCTCTTCTTTCCCCTACCTTATTATTAAAGTAAAAAAACAGCCGTCAGAGGGCCAAGAAGTCAGGGAAGAGAGGGAAGAATGACCAGCATATTCCAATAGCCAGTGTACAGTCTGGAAATTTCAAGCTGGCACAAGGAAAAAAAATCATTATAAAGTCAAATTTATAGTTTTTTTTTTTTTTACTAGATGGGACTGGATATTATTAAATGGGGAAAAAAGATATTCAAGACTGCATTTATGATAAAAAATGATCTGGAACTATCATTAATATCACAATAGTCATTGTTTTGCCAGAGTTTTTGTCCAGAGGCAGGGGAAATTTCCTCACATGGAATTTAAGTTTAAAAGTATGATGTGACACAGAAAGTTGTATGTATGTAGTTGTCCTTTCACACTGCTAATAAAGACATACCCGATACTGGGTAATTTATAAAGGAAAGAGGTTTAATAAACTCACAGTTCTGCATGGCTGGGGAGGCCTCAGGAAACTTAACAATCATGGCAAAAGGTAGCTCTTCACAGGATGGTAGGAGAGAGAATGAGTCCCCAGCACAGGGGGAAGCCCCTTATGAAACCATCAGATCTTGTGAGAACTCTCTATCATGAGAACAGGATGGGGAAAACCACCCCCATGATTCACTTATCTCTACCTGTTCCCTCCCATGACATGTGGGGATTATGGGAACTACAATTCAAGATGAGATTTGGTTGAGGACACAACCAAACCATATCAATGTATACGTGTGTGTGTGTTTAATAGCTATCCACATGCCATGCCTGTTCAACAAACTGGTTATAAATTAATCACTCTGACATCCCTGTGCTTCAATTTGAATATTTTCTAGTCACTTGTTTTCTACATTGGTAATCCTCTTTTAAGCATGTTTTTGTCTGCTATTCAACCCTTAAATTCAATTACTATATTGTTTAGTTTTATAGCTTTTATTTGCATAAACAAAAGATTCTAGTGTCCTGGTAAAATTCATCATGTCATTATATTTTTCTCATGTATTAATCATAATTATTTTAAAGTCTATGGCTGTAAGCTCCAACCTATGAACCATTTGAAGACCCATTTATAAGCCTTTAATTTTAATTTTGTTCTCATTTATTTTTTAAATGAAACTTTTATTTCAGAATAGTTTTAGATTTATAGAAAAGTTACAAAGATGATACCAAAAGTCATCATATACCTTTACACCCAGTTTTTTCTATTATTAGCATCTTACATTACCATGGCATATTTGTCACAAAAATTGATCAATATCAATTCACTATTATTAACTAAAGTACATATTTTGTTCAGATATCCTTAGTTTCTACCTAATGTCATTTTTGTGATCCAGGTTACCATCCAGAATATCACTTTACATTTAGTTCTTATCTCTTTTTAGGTGCCTTTTGACTGTAACATTTTCTTGCACTTTTCTTGTTTTTAATAACTTTGATAATTTGACATTTGAGGAATGCTGATCAGGTATATTGCAGGATTTCATTATATTAGACTTTATGTGT
Organism: Homo sapiens; assembly: GCF_000001405.40. Lineage (NCBI taxonomy): Eukaryota > Metazoa > Chordata > Mammalia > Primates > Hominidae > Homo > Homo sapiens. The sequence continues at coordinate 130,080,165 of NC_000004.12, forward strand.
TTTTTTATTATTATTAGTCTGGGTTACAGTTTTTTGGAGAAAGAACACATCAGTAAATGCCATCTCGTCACATCATATCAAGGGTATATGCTTGACTTATAACTATCTGCATAGATTACTAGGAACTCTTTTACATAGGAAATTTGCCTATCACTTTCAATTTATTAACTCAACCATTCATTTTACTCTTTACCTGTTTTCTTGCTCAAATTGTTTCAGATTTGGCCATTGGAGCTCTTTCAGTTGCCTCCTGTGTCCCCTTGTGATGCCCCATACCCTCCTGCATTCCCTCTCTCCACCCCTGTCCTTTTTATTTTTAGCAATTCCTTAGTTTCTGATGCTGTAATATGTCCCAGGCTCTCTATTTCAGTCTTAGATTCAGCCATGTCTCTAAGGACTCCTGATTCCTTTCATTGGTTTTCAAAAGCAAAATCTTGGTGCTGGGTGTGTTCATCACTAGTGAATCGTGATATTTTTCGGCTTGCTTAGCAGATAGAGCAAGCAAATATGTTTATATAGTAATCCATATCCTATTACTGGTAATATTTAGTTTTGATAATTTTTGAAACATTGAATATTAAAAACAAAGTATCTGAATGAATTTTTTTCAACAGAGAGGATATTTTAAACATTGATTTATTTGAATTTTCTTAGCTGGTGGCAGGTATATAGATTAAGAAAATATCATCTTGATTCAGTTAAAGATTGGACAGATTGAATAGTGGATTTAACTCTTCCCGAGGCTTGGTCTAATTTCTTTTTCTTAGAAATAGTCTCATTTAAGAATCTAAGGTGTTTGTGGGCCCTCTTCATTGGTGGAATCTGAACCTTGTTCTACTGGCACTGGAAGACAGCCAAAGTTTACTCAGCTTCCCGGCTTCTTAGCTGCTGTTTTCTGTTTCATCTGTAGGGCTAGGGAATTGGGCAGTTTCTCAAATGGGGAACCAGCTCAGGGTACATTCACTTCTTTGGATTCCTGCCACTCCTAGATCTTGTTCCCTCATGTCATGGCAGTTCTGTAGCCCTAAAATCCAATTATTGTTTTTCTAGGCCTGTGAAACTTTCAAAATCTCTGCTTGGGGCCTTTCACTTCCTTATTTCTTGCTGCTTATAACTGGGGGCAAATGGCTTGACAAAAACGCGGGGTGGGATGTCAGGATCACTTCATTGAGTTTCCTTGGTATCCATGATCTTGATTGCCCAAGTCCTATCTGAGGTAACTCTCTGACACCTTCAAACACATATATATTTTTGAGTATATTTTATCCACTGTTTTAGTTGTTCTTGGAGGGCGGTTTGGTCTACCACAAGTTATTCTATGGCAAAGTAAAAATAATCTATAAGAAAATGCATTAATCTCAAATCTCATGATTAATAGGTGAACATTAATTTTAGTTATAGAATCTAAATATAGTCTTACTAATTCAATGTTTTTCTTTTATGGATACTCACAATGATATCCTGATGATTAAGCTGAATATTTTTAAGGTATTTATTTTTGGCTGAGAACTAAGAAGAGTTTATAAGAACTTTTTTAGCTGAGTAAGTAACCATGTTATGTGTTTTTAGTAATGTTTAATTGAATATTGAACACTGTTTTGAAAAAAGGCATGGCTTCATATTCCCCAATAGTAAACTAATATTTTTATTAATAAAGCATCTGATATGTCACATTATTATCTCTGGGTTGTTGGCTCAAGTAAAGATTAGCCCCACCTTGTATATCAATTCAAGGAAATAAATTCTATATGCTATTTTATTTAAAAAGGTTAAATGAAATGTCATTCGGTTATTAGAAAATTTCAGTACTTGGTTGATTGTGAATGCTTCAATATAGTAAATAACACTGAACTTTAAGAATGGCAGCATTTGTGGAATAAAAGTTAAAATTTTGTAAGGGCTCTGAAAAGTTAAGTGATAATGTGATGTTCATGAATATAAGTGATGGTAGCAGTGAGATAACTGTTTTTAGTTAATTTCTTTTTTCTATTACTTTTTCAAAACTCATGATTGGAATATTTTATATATTATTATACTTACATTTGTTTTATGATTATACATACTTTTATATAATTATTTTAAATAATTTGCATTAATATGTTAATTCTTAGATTATATTAGAAGTATTAATAAGAACATTTTAAATATACATATAAATGTGGAGAAAGTTAATTTGAGTGATAAATAATAATAATAATGTGTAACACAGTGTGTTAATAAGAGACTAATCAACTTAGTCTCTAATTCTCATGTCTAACTTGTACTGTATCAAAGAATGGCTTTAGGACTGTCACATTGTAACTTTCAAAAAGAATATGGCCTACAGCAATTTTAATGAAAATTCATTAATTATGACAGTTTCCCATGCTAATATGTATTCTTACTTATTCTTTCTAATGGTCTTATTATAGCTACATGTGAAGTCACTCTTATCCACCCAACCTTACACATATGAAAACAGAAGCAAAGACATGACAAAACAAATGCAAAGACACTATAATATTCTATTTCTCTGCATCCCTGGAGAATCATCTAATATTTTTATGGAATGAACTAAATATACAATTTTATTTCTGTTCTACTTTTCTTTTTTAACGAACAATAGCAATTTTAAAAGGATTTTATTTAATCACATTTTTTTCATTTGTTGCAAATATAATAATCAAATTTCCCCATAACAATATATATTACAATCAGAGTCATGATCAGCATGGAACGCTTATTATTGTCAAACATTCAAATGCTTGGACACTTCTTGCAGTAGTAAATAATAGTGTATAAACTGCTAAATTCTAAAAAAGACACAAGATCAAGTTTAAAAAGTGGGCCTAATTAATTGGTATTTATTTATTCATCAGTTTAAAAATACTTTATTTCTCTGGAATCATTTGTTCTGTAGATGCATTTGTAAGTTGTTTGTTTTGTAGATGCATATATAAAAGTTATGTTATATAATCATAGATTCTACAAGACATAAGAGATCCTAGAGGTCATCTAATAAGAATCCTCTTATCAAAGATAGTTACAATCCAAGACTTCACTGTTTGTTGACCAGAGAGTTTGTTGAGAAAGTCATCCTAGATATTTTTATTTTTGTCTAGAACTCTTTTCTGCTATGAAATTACACTTTCAATATGATGAACTTCTTTAACATTCTCTCATTATTATACATGCTGCTTTATGGCAGCTGAGCAATCTTTTGGCATATTTACACACAAAATCATGCAACAATCACAGCCCTATCAGTCAAAGCTCATTGGTTTCCTGTTCCCTAGTAGAGACACAGAGATTTATTCCCCCAAGTTCTCTTTAATTTTTTGCCATGTTGTGGGCCTGTGAGCCCCTTCACAACGTAATGTGCAGTTGAAAGTCCATTTCTCTGCTCTGTTTAGTGCTCCAATCAGAGGCAGATTTCTGGACATCTGTTTCCCACTTAGTATATATTTTCTGTATTGTGTCTAATATGTATGGTTCTATAATTGAAAAATTACTCTCTGTAGCCCAGGTGGTGTTGTACAGAATAATTTCTTCAGTATTGATTTAAGCAGTTGATGGTTGCATTGGAGAAGGAAAGTCATTCAATTGTACCAAAGAGCTTTCAGTAAAAAACAATTTGTTAAGCCTGTACTAAATGGCATCTTCAAAAGATATCTTCAGTAATAATCTTAAATTTAACTCTAAGATTTTCTCTGCATTATAGCATTGTGTTTTCTTTTATAGTGAAGACATTTTTAAAGAAAACAACAACAAAAAGATTTTGCCATGGGTGATTGCTAAGCATTAAATTCACTAATTTTTTTTTCTACAAACAAATTGCTCAGCTGGCATGTGATTGGGGGATATAATAGTAGTCAGCTTTCTTAGAAAAACAGCACAGCAGTCTGCTCTTCAGTTTCTATTTTGGGGAAAGTGTAGAATACTCATTTGCTATAGTTTTCTTATTTTAAAAAAACCCTTTATATTCTGGAATTCTGCTTCAGTTTTCTAATTTGAAACTATTCACACCAAATGGTTTCATGCTATTGTTTCAGCCATTTCTGTGGTTTCTATGTTAACCAAAAAGCTGGAATTTGTATATTTGCCAAATTTGCATCACTATTTACACATGGCAAAAAGTTCATTGCCTCCTGTTGGTTATTACCTTGACTGACATTACATGAGTGGTCTCTTCTCCCCACACCCAGGTCCCCACTTCTCCATGGTCTTTAACTTCTCCTGGTTTTTCTTTTCTCCATTGCACTTGTCATATTTTAACCTAGTTTTATTAAATCTTTATGATTATTGTTTATTATCTGTCTTTCTTACTGAAATGTAAGCTATATGAACAATGAATTCTTGTATATTTAATTCAGTCATATATCCCAAGTGTCTAAACAGTGTCTGGCACTTCATAAGTATTGTTGAACGAATGAATCTGTTTTTTTTTTTTTAATTTTTTTGTTCTGAAGATCCATTGGCATAAATCTGTTTTATTCAAGTAATTGTGAGTAATAATGGTATTCTTCAAAAAAATAATTTATTAAGCAACACATATGTGGATATCTTTACACTATTTCCAAGGAAGAAATTATAGTTCAAAGATATCCTGACTCTAAATAGTTTACTTAGATTAATATAAAACAAAAAGAAGTTTCAAAAAGAAGGCTCCAAAGTCAAGGGAGTTTCCAAATTCTGCTGAGAAGAACACTGGGAAAAGTTTTATGGTGGGGGTACCTAAGTGCAGTCTTGAGCTGAAAACCATATTGTCAAACGTTTTCAGTTGATCTCTTTCATCATCATTAGTTTCTACATGAGGTTTAGTAATCCATCCTGAGTGCTTTGTTCTCATCTTGACGGATAATCTTTTCCCAATCTACTTTGCATGATGAGTATACAATGGCTGTTATGGTTTTGAAATATTCTTTGTTTACATTTACATTTGTTAAAGTAGACATGAGATTTCATATCTACTTATGTCCTTACATGTTTAAATATTGTGATGCCTACTAATATGAATCCTATTTATCACTATTCAAAGCCTTCAACTTCTTGAACATGTGATAATATTTGTTTAAAAGGGCTGTATCTATATCTAATTTATATCTTTGTCTATCTACATTTTTATGTATAGATCAATTTAAATATAGCAGGCATATTTATATAAATATATAAAACACATATAGTATATTTACATAAATATAAATGCCATAAATTTATAAAACAGAGAAAGAAAAATAGGAAAGGAGAAAGGGAGACATCAAAAGCCTACAATCTTGTCCTTTAAAAAGTACCCATTTCTGGAGTTCAGAAAGCAATTACCATGAAGAACAGTGTGCCAGGCCAGCAAATTCTGTGCAGCGTGTGGTGAGGTAGATGGAAACATCTAGAGAACTCTTTTTACCTAGGTTCAAAACAAGCCAGGGCTTAGAACCAAAGCAGACTGAATGGTTCAATTTTTGTTGGCTTCTCAGCTCACAAACTAAAATAAACACGAATCCTATCGCTCTAGCAGGAAAGAAAGATAATAAAAATCTACAGATAAAAGTTAAACAAAAGATCAAGAGAATCCTATGGCTAGAGAGCAGCTCCATGGCTAGTGCCTTTCTTCTGAGCATTCTCACGAGGCATCTCCTGAGCAGAAGTGCAGTCTAGCTGTTCATCTGAGTGTCCCAGCCGCATGGGACAGAGCATGGTCAGAGGAGGGGGGCGGGGGGGAAGTGACAAAGACAGAGAGGTGAATGTGCTTTCATGAAGTGGCTGTAGTCTAAGACCCTGGTTATGTCTTCAGACCTTAGAGAATATGAAGTTCCAATAATAACCATCATTCCATAGGCTCTGAATCCTAATCTGAATCCTTGAACTTGACAGATAAAGAGCAGTCTTCCTCCATGAAGGTAAAATGAAGGAGGCAACGGAACAAGGTGGTGAAACTGTCCCGTTTTACTGGGGCCTGATGTTGACAAAATAATTGAAAAAATATTACTATATAATAGAGTCCCAAATTATACAATAAAAATACTGGTGAGAGGATGGATGTTACATCTTCAAAGGGAAAAGCCTCAAAGGAAATAGAGAATGAAATTTAAACACCATAATCTTTTGTTTAGTTCTTAGGCAAAGAAATTTACACTGTAAATAAAAACAAATATATTCTATATCTTTCTCATGTTACAGAAATTTTATAATAGGAAACAGCATATCTTTCAACATCAACAGAGTATATGCTTTAGTTAGGCTGAAGAAAACAATTACTTCACAAATGAGTCTGCTAAACTGCAAACTTCCAAAAAGCATTTGGCTTTGTACAGAGAAAAATTATGGGTTTTGAAATGAGGTAGGAGGAAAGTGAGCACTGGAGGACCCCCTCTTAGGCCCCCTTGCTTTGTCTTTTATGCTCTGTGACCTGCTCCTTCTTTCTGAATAGGGTTTTCTTGTTACTGGAATGTCAAGCTCTTAAGTTAGATTTTGATCCTAGAGAAAATCTGTAGACAACACATTATGAAACGTCTTCAAATAACTGTGGCTTTAACCCATATATGCTAATACAAATTAACAACCAGAAACAAATGATTTATTATCTTTGATCTAATGTTTTTAGGCCTCAAACTTCTTTTTTTCAAACATTTGAGCAGGTTTTATCAACTATTTTGCACATTTGAAAACAATACTTCAGTAGATTTTGTCTGCATATATTTTATACACATATCTTTAATGTTTTATTCATTGTTGCTAAATATTATACTGGATCCATTTCTGATAAATTGTTGAGATTAAAATATGTAATTTGTTTCCATAGCAAGGTAGACTAATAATGTTTCATTCACTTGAATAAGTATACATACCTCTTTAAATACATAATTTTATGATCAGAAATTGTACCATGGGTATTGGAATAATTTTTTAGTAATATATAACTAATACACTGAGATATAAATTTTTTTATCTTGCCTATAAGGTATATTATATAACAGAATATTTCATTATAGTTTATATAAAATTAGTTTCTAGAACTCAGAATTTATTGGAAGATAAACGTAGGAGATTTTGTGATGTGTAAATATGCCAATTATATGCCTAACGTGGTTTTTTTTTTTTTTTTTTGAGACAGGGTCTTGCTCTGTCACCGAGGCTGGAGGGGCAGTGGTGCAATCTCAGCTCACTGCAGCCTCTGCCTCCTGAGCTCAAGCAATCGTCTTACCTCAGCTTCCCAGGTAGCTGGGACTACAGGAACGTGCCACCACACCCAGCTAATTTTTCTATTTTTTGTAGAGATTGGGTTTTGTCATGGTGTCCAGGCTTGTCTCGAACTCCTGAACTCATGCGATCCACCTGCTTTGGCTTCCCAAAGTGCTGGAATTACAGGCACATATGTGATTTTTATGCATGGTTTGTTCATATTCTAATGTAGTTCGAATTATTTTAGAATGCATTATATGTGACAATTGAGTTTTGCATATTATTTAAAAGAGTTCCATTCTATCTATACTCAGCAAAGGTTGTTCAATAGTTGATAATATTTGAGGAAACAACTATTAAAAACCTCATATTTTATAAACAGTCTTTATTTCAAAATTTGTATGATATGGCTTAAATAAGAATTAGCATGGATTGATGGCCAGCTTTCAAATAAAACTGAAGATCAATTCATTTTAAGGTAATACCACTTCCTCTATTTAAGGTTGTTTTGTTTAGTTCCAAGATAATTCACTCCAATTCTGAATACTAATTTGAAGGTTTGAATGCATTGTCGTGACATATGATGAATTCAAAAGTGTGTTTGCTGCTTTGCTGAAACATAAGAAACAGCATATATAGCAATTATATTTAAAATGCACAGCTTATGTTGGACTCTGTGACAACCAAGTGACAATGATAGATCCAAATGCAATCCCGACTTAGAACGTCAATTAGGAAAATGGCAAAGGCCTTTCTAACATTATAAATTACTCTGTGGATGCCAGTAACAAAAGCTCTCACTACCAGTAATTTTGCATGATTATGGTTTGGACAAAAGATAGTTGATGAGGGTAAAACCTTGTATTTATACAGCTAAAAATTATTTCTCACTAGATATATAACTGTGAGCATGATCTCAACAGCTTCTATGACTCTAAAATACACCTATGCCAAACAGATTTCAGATTTAAGTCACATTTTGCTATGTCTTTAAATGACAGCAATAGTATTTTTTGAGATATTAATATTCCAGTTGCTAACACTCACATAGCAGGGCATTTCTATGAAAAGACATCTATGTATGTCTTGATTATTAGTTGCATCAGTTACTGACTATGACAAGTGATCCATTTTCTGTTTATTGCAAGATTACTTGTCTGTTTGGAATGTCTTAGAATATATTGTCAGTACTATACTCTGTTAGCTTCAGACTTTCAGGAAAGACTTTTTGGAATGTCTTAGAATGTAGTGTCAGTACTACACTCTGTTAGCTTTAGACTTTCAGGAAAGAATGCACAGCTTACATTTTACTTTTTGTGACAAACAAGTGGCAGTCCCTTATGACCGAATTTGTAAAGTACTTTATGTTACCTTTAAAATATGGTTCATTTCTGGATTTCTTATTACTTATAGTGTGATATATTGTTTGCTGAAATGCGTTAAAATATCAAGCATCCCCCAAATAATTATACTTGTAAATCCTTTGCTATCTGATCTTTCTACCATTGGTTCTTGAGTCTGATGTTTACACATGAAAAAATTTAGGGATTAGTGAGAATTCAATACTTTCATTTTCTCTGGATTCATAAAATTTAAAGTTAAAAAACATCTTAAAGGATAGGAAGTCTAAGCCCTTCATTTTACACCGGAGGAAACAACAACTCAGAAGTGAAGTGATTTCTTTGAGGATGGTAAATTGGAAACTTCAACAATGTCACAAAAAGTCAAGATCCACTAATAGACCAAATGCCTTTTTGGAAGATAGTTAACCTCATAAATAATTGCTTTTCCATCCCCTCTGAATATTTAGTACTTTGAGTCAACATCCATTCAGAAAAATAAAAACTACTATATTATAGATATTTCAAACAGAATAAAGTTTAACTCAGGGAATTGATTGTAAATGTGTTGGAAGGTCGTGAAAGGGCCACTATCGATGGGGGATATTGACAAATACAAAAAAAAAAAAAAAAAAAAAAAAAAACCCTCGCTTTTTTCTTTCTTCCTTTCTTCCTCCAGTTGCTCCAATTAGGCAACCTTGAAAAAGCCAGATGACAATACCAAGAGATCCATAACAAATTATAAAGGTTGATTGCAAAGCTGACAGTAAAGCCAGAGATGAGATAGTTGAAAGAAGCACTTCTGCTTCCAGCAAAAGTAATGCATGTTCTGTGTTCTCACATATGGATGTGACAATGCCAAACAAATAATATGACTTTGGATAAGGGGACTTTCTTCATTCAAGAGCAACTATCAGGAGGAGGGGCTTAGCTCTGGGCTTTCAACCATTACCATTATCAGTATCTGGGGGGATGAATGCTTTTGTCCTGAAGAAAAGGGATTTGGGTATGCATCACAGTGTCCAGTACTATGGTAGACCCTTCTATAAGCTGATTAAAAATTGGATTTTTAATCATATTGTTCCAGCTTTCGGTGAGCAAATGTTTTTAACCTCTTGCAAAATGGAACACATTCTCACTGAGATGATGCTAATGAAAATACTCACATGTAGCTGTGCCCCTCTCCAGACTTAGTGCTTCCTGTCCCTCTTCCTTTGCTCCTTATTTTATGAATGTGGGTCTAAGTCATTGTTCAGTGGCCCCTATGGAAGTGTTACTTACTTCATCTCACTTATTTAAATATTGAGTAAATTTCTTTCTTTTCCTTCTGTGCACCTTCTTCACCCCACCCTAGCCAGGTGGGAGATTTTCTCTTCACTATCAGTGAAGGCTTCAAGATTTTCTTTGACGCCTTATGAATAAATAACTCTTGATGGCCAGAGTCAGCAACATTAGAATGTGCAAGTCGCTTAGGTGAGCTGGAGGAATGCATAACCTGGTTTTTTTCCATAGTTCCTCCAAATGAAGAATAAGGGTTTTCCCTATGTTCCTGACACCAAAAGAGAGATTCAATATTGTCAGCAGATGGCATTGCATCCAGGGTCTTTGGGAGGGAAACGGTTCGTTCATCTATTCCATCCCCTCAACTCCTAACTCTTGTGACCAGGATTACTCAAACTATAGCACCTTTACTGCTGGTTATTTCCTCACTGAGCAATAAATACAAAAATCACCTTAACAATGAAACATAACATTGATAGGTGACAACGTGCTAGCAGCCCTCTCTCGCTCTCGTGCCTCCTAGGCCTCGCTGTCCGCTCTGGCAGTGCTCGAGGAGCCTTTCAGCCCACCTCTGCGCTGTGAGGGCCCCTCTCTGGGGCTGGCCGAGGCCGGAGCCGGCTCCCTCTGCTCACGGGGAGATGTGGCGCGGGGCGGGAGTTGGGGCTGCGTGTGCCGTGGGCGAGCAGGGGTTCCGGGTGGGCACAGGCTCGTCGGGAGGAGGGCACTGAGCACAGCCAGCTGGCGCCTGCTGGGCTTGGTCAGGAGACAAGCTCCCTGTGGGCTGCTGGAGGGCTAGGTGCCGCAAAGTCCTACAGTGAGTGCCATTGAGAGGTGAAGCCAGCTAGGCCCCTGGGTCAGGTGGGGACTTGGAGAACTTTCCAGTCTAGCTAAAGGTTTGTAAATGCACCAATCAGCGCTCTGTCAAAATGGACCAATCAACTCTCTGTAAAACGGACTAATCAGCTCTCTGTAAAATGGACCAATCGGCTCTCTGTACAATGGACCAATCAGCAGGATGTGGGTGGGGCCAGATAAGGGAATAAAAGCAGGCCACCAGCGCCAATAGCAGCAACCTCCTGGCTCCCTTTGCGTGGTGTGGAAGCTTTGTTCTTTTCACTGTTCGCAATAAATATTGCTGCTGGTCACTGGGTCTGCACCATCTTTATGAACTGTAGCACTCACCGCGGAGGTCTGCAGCTTCACTCCTGAGGCAAGTGAGACTGTGAACCCACTGGAAGGAACGAACAAATCCAGACCCGCCGACTTTAAGAGCTGTAACACCCTGAAGGTCTGCAGCTGAACTCCTGAAGTCAGCGAGACCACAAACCCACCAGAAGGAAGAAACTCCAGACACATCTGAACATCTGAAGGAACAAACTCCAGACACACCATCTTTAAGAACTGTAATACTGACCGCGAGGGTCCGCGGCTTCATTCTTGAAGTTAGCGAGACCAAGAACCCACCAATTCCGGACACAACACACCCATCTCATTGTTGGTATATGTATTTTTCTTAATCTCTTAGATATGACTGAGACTTTTTTTTTTTTTTTTCTTTGAGACAGAGTTTTGCTCTTATTGTCCAGGCTGGAGTGTAATGGCACAGTTTCGGATCACTGCAGCCTCTGCCTCCCAAGTTCAAGCAATTCTCCTGACTCAGCCGCCCAAGTAGCTGGAATTAACAGGCATGCACCACCACATTCGGCTAATTTTGTGTTTTTAGTAGAGACAGGGTTTCACCATGTAGGCCAGTCTGGTCTCAAACTCCTGACCACAGGTGATCCACCCACCTCAGCCTCCCAAAGTGGTGGGATTACAGGTGTGAGCCACTGTATCTGCCCTATGACTGAGACCTTTTATGGCCTTGTGTGTGAGGTGTAGCTTCCAGACATCATTGGGGACAAAGTTATTCACACTAAAATCAAAGTAGTCTTTGTGTTTGAAGGACCCCAAGCTTCCTAGCTTTCTCGCTGGAAGTGGAGAAGCTGCTGCACTGAGTTGATGGGATCTATTTGTCAGGAGCACAACCTCAGCAGCTCTCTTACATGAAATGATGTATCCAGTTGAAAACTTTCTGCTCAGTTTTGTTGTCTGAGAGCAGCCAATGCTGCCCTATGCTTTTGAGCCTCCAAAATAGCTCTATTAATACTAAGAATCTGAGGGGTCACTACTGTCTGTGACAGCATGGGCTGTTCTTCTAGATTTCTTCAGAAAGAGTTTTTATGCATCAATGTCAGCCTTGTGCTGCCTGCTCTGATTTCCCATACTCTGCCGTACTTTACCTTGTCGTATTGCTCCCTGTTTGTTTTTTTAAATCTCACAACTTAACATGCATGTGCAAGTCCTCTCTCTCTGATGCTGATATCTAGTAAGAAACTTGACATATAAGTCACTGGTAACGTCCTCATTACTGAAAAGCCATTCAAGAGCTGTCAGCAACATTGACAGAGGCATTTGAGAATTTGAGAACATAGGTAATCCTAATGGCTAACCCTGAAAAAAATGTATTAAATGCCATTGCTTCTCTGTCTGCTGCCTGACACCTCTCATACAGTGGCACGTTCTCACCACAACTCAGTTTCTCTCATATCTGGCACATTTCCTTCAATGTAGCGCATAGTTTCTGTCATCAGTTTCAAAATATTCTTAACTAACCATATAATCGTATTTTAGCAGATGAAAAAAACAGATCACAGAATCAACCAAAGCACAGCTGTCTTTTGAATGAATACTGAAAAATCTTAAGAAATTTTGAGTTTTTCAAAGCAGAGTTGAAGGCCAATACCTAGTCTGTGACTTCTTAAGAGTTTTTTGGATACTCCCAAGTTAGCTGACAAATGCTTTGTGAAACATTGTATCATAAACAATGCATTCCTCTGGCTTCCACAGAACTAATATAGGAATTCAGAGTCATTTCCTTGACTTTCTTATGACATTCAGATTATATACAAAGGACCGTTGTTCAATTCAGAACCCTGAATTTGAGAGTTTGGCTGTCACAGTGAAAGATGTGTCCTGGTTAGTGTGATCTAAAGCGAAATGCCACTAAGTGCTGCTCTGTTTTTATAAATAACCAGATATGACCGTCCACCCAAAGGCAGCTTTTATTTTTGTCTCATTCCAACTCTGAAGCACAACACAGATGTTCTTAAATTACTCTAAAATACAAATTTCTGCATAAGCCAATTACTGATCTACATGGTTTTTAACAAAGTATGTCATAGGAAAAAATTAGGTAGTTTGCGTTGTGCAGCTCATAAAATTTTACTCCTAAGTGCACACGAATACACACAAACACACTAAATGAGGCTTCTTTTAAAAACTTATATCAATGGTTTCAAGTCGCATAAACTTTCTTTCTTTCCCTCCACTTTCCATCAATTTTCCAGCCACTATAATCGCTCTTTTTTTATGCAGAGCAATATAGCTTAATCTCAAGTTTACAATATTTTCTATCTACCATTTTTTGGAGCTCAGCCTCCCAGCCTCCAAGGAAACTTATGAAAGTACTGTGAAATACTTATTATTTCTTCATCTGTTATTAAAGGAGACTTATTAAAGTATTCAGCCAACATGTGTAATCTAACTCTGAGAGGTGGAGTGAGCTGGATTATTTTACTGATAATAAGATAAAAATAACGTTTTCTTGTAATATATCAAAAGGAAACAGCAAAAGACATTGTATGAACAGAAAGTTCCTGGCACAGATAAAGTATCCTTTAGCAATAAAATTGTTTTAAAAACAACCTTCAAGAAATTGCAGACTTAAAAGATTAAAAACCTTTAATAGGTATATGTAGTAAGAGCTAAGATTAGAGAAGTCTGGAACAGTTATTTACATGTGAATAAAAAAGAGACAAGAAGAAGCAACAGTAGAAGCAATTCAACACAAAAACTACTCTCATAACCACCTTCAGATCAGCATTTTATAGTTTATTGTGTACAGTTACATCTTTAATAACTGTACAGTAAAATAGACATAGTTCTCATTTCATGGGTAAGGATTTTCAACTTACTCTTATTGTAGTTTTACAGAGACACATATATTTTTATGGACCTGTGCAGAGACTAAATGGATTTCACCTGACTATTGTAGTCATGATGTGGGATCTAAAATAGAAAAGCAGGTCAGCAGCATGCTGTATGAACTGATTCCTGAGCATGGTTTATTTATATGCATGGGTGCACCACCTGTTATACAAACAAAAATGGTAATGCTTTTTACTCTCAGGACTACAGCTCCCCCCAATCATTCTTTCCCCCTCCATCCTATTAGCTTATTTGAAATAATTTGATAAATAATTCAAACATAACTTGTTATCTGGTCTCTATGAGTTCAGCAGTTCTATAAGCAGAAACTTTTAAGAATAAAAAAGCCTACTAGAAATATATATATATATTCGTCAAGATATATATAAAATATATATATGGATATATCAAGAAATAATAACCTGAACAGCCAACAAAAAGCTAGTAACTTTAGAAACTGTAGTAAACAGTATTATTCAATTATAAGCCAATTGGCTACTGAAATAGATTTTATACATTAATTAATATTAAATTTAAGAGATCTGTGATTTTACTGTTTTGACATATCCTAACCCTAATTATCTTTAACTTAAAAATAACACAAGGAAATGAAAACATGGGATGAATTTTCAAAGAAGTGTCAGAAACAAAGAAGAAATGAAGGGAATAGTGACCATGCCCTTGCCTTGGTTTGAGATATTAGGATTGATTTTAAGTGAGTGTGCAATTAGATTGGACAACCAGGAAGGTTTTGCCTAACTCAGTGAAACTAATTTACCTTTTTACAAGCCAGCAATAAATTGTTTTCTTTTTATGATGCTCTCCACCGAAAGTGATTTTTAAAAATATGAGTAGTTTGCAGTTTTACTTTTGCTCTAAATACAAAGGCAGTATAGTACATATGATTCCTTATGATAACCACAATAACTTGAAAATTTGATACCTCGATTTATTTCATGTCTCTTTTCTTCTCAGTTTACATTTCTTCTGAATGCAGCTCTAGTTTGACTGATAAATAACCACGTTGTTTAACACTACTTTTAGGCAGTACTTTATCTCATTGCCTAATTCGTCATTTCTGTCTTTCATTGCAAAACTTGAAAATTTGTTCCTGATGTCACATAACAAAGGCTCATAACAAAAAAATGGAACACACACACACACGTATATGTATATAAACTGCATATTATATAGCCAAACATTTAAGGTAACTAATTTAAGAAACTAGTTACCTTAAAGATTATGTCCATGTATGAGGAATTTGGATCACATCTATGAGAATACATTTTCATATGCTTTTTACTTATATATTAAGGAAACTAGCTATGTTGGTTTGTCCTTGATTGAATCCTGACAGCTTGCAAGCTATGTGTATTCTGCCATCACAGATATTTTTCTAAAACACAAAGGAACCATGTGCTTTGTTTATTTCCCAAATCCCAAGGGATAGAAACCCAAACTTTGCAGTGTATCCACAAAAGAGGGAATCTCTGCTGTTTTCATAACACCGATATCAATTTTCACTTGCCTGGTAATAGCACCTTGATTTTTCTCCTGTTATTTGCACCTTCTGTAATGTAGGCTGTCTTGTTGGGACTCAAGTCCTATGAGATAGAAAAGCAAACTTTATGGGGTAATTCCAAAGGAGGGAATCTGTACTTTTCATTGGGCCAACATTAATCCTCACTTCCATGGTAATGGTGCCTTGATTTTCCTTTCGTGATTATTCCTTCTACAAAGCTTGTAGCTTCCTTGGGCTAGGGAACTAGCTTGGCCGTGTCACTAATACTAGTCAAATCATGCTTTACCTTCTGGGAATTTAAATTTTGAGGAAAATAACAGAAGAATGGAAAATAATTGGAGCTGTGGAATCCACGCTCCTACCCTTTATCTCTGGTGAAATCTTTTCACCTTTTGTAATTTGGTTTTTTTTTAACTGAGAGATGAATGTGCTACTATAGGTTAATTCAGAGGGCTCTATTCACTGAGATTCTCCCTCGTCCATCTCCCCTTAAGCCCCTTTTTGAAATATTTTATTTTAGACTCAGAGGTACATGTGCATGTTTGTTACATGGGTATATTGCATAATGTTGGGGATTGAGGCTTCTAGTGTACCCATTACCCAAATAGTGAACATTATACCTGACAGATAATTTTCTCACAGCCCTTCCACCTTTCCTACTTTTGGAGTTTCCAGTGTCTATTATTTTCATCTTTGTGGCTATGTGTACCTATTTCTTAGTTCCCACTTATAAGTGAGAAGATGTGGTATTTGATTTTTCTGTTTCTGAGTTAGTTACTTGGAATAATGGCCTCCAGCTCCATCCATGTTGCTGCAAAGGACAAGTTTTCGTGTTTTTTTAATGGCTTCATGGTATTCCATGGTGTATATATACCACATTTTCTTTATCCAGTCAACTGTTAATGGACAATTAGGTTGATTCCATGATTTTGCTATTGTAAATAGTGCTGTGATAAACATACAAATGTAGATGTCTTTTTAATATAGCAATAACTTTTACTTTGTGTAGATATCCAGTAGTGGAATTGCTGGGTAAAATGGTAGCTCTGTTTTGAGTTCTTTGAGAAATCTCCATGCTGTTTTCCACAGAGGTTGTAGTAATTTATATTCCCATCAATGATGTCAAAATGTTCTCTTTTCCCCATATCAACACCAACATCTGTCATTAAAATGACCACACTTCCCAAAGCAATATACACATTCAGTGCAATATCTATCAAACTGCTCATGTCATTTTTCACAAAAGTAGAAAAAACAATCTTAAAATGCACATAAAACTAAAAAAAAGAGCCTGAATAGCCAAAGGCATTTTAAGCAAAAGGTAAAAAATTGGGAGACATAACATTGCCTGAGTTCGAATTTTACTACAAGGCTGTAGTAACTAAATCAGCATGGTACTGGTATAAAAATAGACACACTGATCAGTAGAATTGAATGAGGAACCCAGAAATAAAGCCACATACCTACAACCAACTGATCTTTGACATAGCAAAAATGAACAACAGGAAAGGAAACCCTAGTCAATAAATGATGCTGGGAAAGTTGTCTTGCCGTATTGCAGAAGAATAGAACTGGACCTCTACCTCTCACCATATACAAAATTTAGCTCAAGATGGAATAAAAACTTAAACAGAAGAGCCAAAACTATAAAAATCCTAGAAGAAAATGTGGGATAAACTCTTTGGCACATGAATGTAAATTAAAACCACAATGAGATATAATCTTATGCCAGTCAGAATGGCTGCTACTAAAAAGTCAAAAAACCTCTTTTGTAATTTTTTTTTATCTCCAGTTAAATCCTTTCACCTTTCAAAATTCTTTCTGGGGATTAGGTCCTCAGGTTTTACTTTGATTCTAAGAGATATAGGGAATGATTCCAATTAGTTTTGTTGTTGTTTTTCCTTCAGTAAGAGTCAGTTGCTGTTGATGGTAATCAAAGTCCCCTTATTAATCCAAGGTTCATGATGGAAACTTTGCTTATGTCTCCTGCTCTATTCCTGACCACTTATAGTAAACTCTGGAGGTTCTTACTCATCCTATGTATTTTTATTTGCTAATCATTTTGCTTGAGATGTCTTTCCTGGCTTCCTTTCTCTTTATGTGTCTGGCTACTTCTTATCTTTTTCTGTCAGGGTTATTTCCCTTGGAACTCCTTACCCATAACCTTTACCTCATCCTCATGTTAGAAGAGATGGCTCTCCCCAGCCAGGCAGAGTGGCTCACGCCTGCAATCCCAGCACTTTGGGAGGCTGAGGTGGGTGGATCACAATGTCAGGACTTCAAGACCAGCCTGGCCAACATGGTGAAACCCCAACTCTACTAAAAATACAAAAATTGGCTGGTCATGATGTGGGCATCTGTCATCCCAGCTACTCAGGAGGCTGAGGCAGGAGAATCACTTGAACCCGGGAGGGAGAGATTTCAGTGAGCTGAGATCGCACCATTGCATTCCAGCCTGCGCAAATAGCAAGACTCCATCTGGAAAAAAAAAAAAAATAGATGGCTCTTCCCTATTCCAATTGCAAGCAATTTGTGTATGCCTTAGTCATAGAAATGATACAATAAATAATTGCTTACTTCCTTATTAGTCTGTTCCCACTAGAAATAACTTGTTTCATGGAAAGTTCTGTGCCTAAATCTTTGTGCCTCAGGGCCTACCATATAATCTGCTTGTGGCAAATATAATGAAACGTGTAATGAATAATTAATGTATAGGTGAGTTCTTGATAATTTTAAAAAGCAACAGGCCAGGAGCGGTGGCTCATGCCTGTAATCCCAGGACTTTGGGAGGCTGAGGTTGGTGGATCACCTGAGCTCAGGTATTGGACAACAGCCAGGACAACATGGCAAAACACTGTCTCTACAAAAAACACAAAAAGTAGCCATCCATGATGCAGCCTGTCTGTAGTCCCAGCTACTCAGGAGGCTGAGGCAGGAGAATTGCTAGAGCCCTGGTGGCAGAGGTTGCAGTGAGCCAATATCGCACCATTGCACTCCAGCCTCAGTAACAGAGCGAGACCCTCTCTCCAAAAAATTAAGAAAAAAAAAACACGCAGGAAATTTTGAATATTATAATTACTATATATTAGAAAGCTGTGATACTCCTTGCCTCTAATCTTGGTGTTGTCCTTCATATGCCAACAAAAGCTTAACATTGAATTGCCAGAATAAATGAAGGCACACTGGCTGAGAGCCTATATTTGACAACAGTATGTAAAGTCAGGATATCTGTCATAGTTGGAGGGATCATATCATGTATTGTCCAAACTGCAACACTTTTGAAGGAGACAGAAGGCCTTCTTTTGCCAGGGTAATTGAAATAAACTAGGCTTGTTCTGGCTAAACTAGGTCATACCATCATCTTAGTTATGATTAACTGACTAGACAGTGAGCAACCAAGGAAGGACAATGTTTCTGTGACCTTTTTTTTTAATGGTTACAGTATGACTACAGCAGGTCTAACTGTGAAATAGATATTTACAAGGTGATTTCTTTAAATGTAATTTTTATTTTGTCTTATTTTTAAGTTCAATATGTATCTGGAATATTTAAAAGACAGAAATCAAGCCCTTCCCTTTCCCCCACTATTATTTCTTTAGGCCCAGCCTCCTGGTGAAAGTTGTATTAACAATGTTTCTTAAGGAGTCTTTTGTTCATCTCAAAGGCGTTAAGAATAGTAGTTTGTAGTATTTCTATGTTTAGCTCACTTTCCTTCTGTGGATATACAAAAAATTCTTGGATTTTGGACAGGCATCTTTTCATTTCACTTGGCTTGCAGCCTCATTTCTAGTGGGCTGAATAAATATCTGTCTTGAAATTCAGCACTCTTCAACCCTTTGTTAATGTGCAGCTGAGAGCTTCTTGAGAGCACAAAGCCATGAACTCATACAACCAGGTGCTTAGGTAAAAATGCTTTAAACATCCCTTGCCCTCCTGTCTCTGCAACCTTTTTCAACTTTCTACATTCCTATCCCAGTTTTGAATGAAGTCTGTGAAAAAAATAGACATTTGACATTGACTTTACCCTCTGTCCAAATTCAGTGTTTGAAGAAACATGTCTGAGAGTATTCTGATGAACTTTCCCTTGACATTTAAAATCCGCTGGAAACTACACTATTCCCAAAAGGAGCTCTGCCATTGGGGTTGAAATCTAATTTAACTGTCACAAAATGTAGAATAAATTTGGAGATAAAAAAATAGAAATTTTTTACTCTCTGGTTAGCAATAATACTGTTTCCAAATAGCAATCCTCTCTTCTCAGGGATATACAATAGGGCCCTGGAGGAGATCCATGTAATCCTTGAAGGAAATAAATGTAACTAGTCCAATCTTATTGGAAGGTAACTCAGAGTGCTATGAGGTTGGCTTACAGAACAGGTTTATGTGTCTTTAGAGGGTCAATGAAAGAGAAAAACAAGAGTATGAGCACTAGTAAAATTCAGGTCTCCATTATTCCACGGATAGTAGAGAGGCTGTAAACCTTCATATATGTCCCTGGTAAAGAGGAAACTTGATTTTCATCATCATCTATTGTGGCATGTGACTCCTAGATACTAGAATCAAAAAAGACAGAATAATCAGAGGCCAGAGTCAACAACCGTGGGAAAAAAATATTGATGGCTCTGCTTAGGAAGGCCTGAGAGTATATCTATACTCTGAAGGCTTGGCACATGTCATGCAGGCTTGGGAAATCTGAGAGACTGGAAATCAGGGTAATTAACCCCCAACATTTCACCTATGAGTAATTCTTTGAGTCAAGTAATAACGCTGCCATGCCTTTTCTCAGTGAATAGGTTTCAAATAAGACTTTCCAGTAATTCTGTGACTATCTCCCTTTTTAAAATATAAATATCATATATTCATCTTGTTAATTAACCTTTTGTAATTTCTTGCCATGATACCAGATTAAGAAACGATATGTGAAATATATCTGGAAGTTATATGCTATCAAGTTTGCTTTATCTAATAAAATGTTTTCCATATAGTGGAAACTTTCTGAGTATTTAAAATTTCTGTGAAATTCTAATTTATTAAAATTTTCAGCATGTTCCCTCTGGTCAGAATAGAAGGCATTAGGAAGAAAGAACTATTTGTTTTTAGCACCTGTCTCTACTACAATGAATAATCAATATACATATGAATATATCAGAAGCTCTCTGTGTTTGATAAACTGAACATAATTGAATGGAGTGGAATTAGAAGTTAGAACAATAGCTCAGCTTAACAATGTTTATCCATATATTTAAACTGTGTGCAATCTTCTAGGCTCTTTGTTAAGTGCTAGAGAGTCAAATGTAAGAATTTCTACTCCCAGAAAGCTAATTTTTCACTATCTAGCAGGGAAGGTGGACATAAGAAAGAGCAAATAATACTACTTTACCAAATACAATAAAAAACTATATATAAGAAATAAAGGTTGTATATAGGAAATTTGTGTTAGGGAAAGATGAGTTTAGAAAAAGCTTCATAGAGTAAGTACACATTATGAAAAAAGAATAGTAATTACACAGTTAAAAACAGGGCGAGGTATTTTGGATGGAGGAAAAAAATTATGGAGAAACAAATAAGCAAAATAGCAATGTGTGTTCCTGG
Source organism: Homo sapiens (assembly GCF_000001405.40). NCBI lineage: Eukaryota > Metazoa > Chordata > Mammalia > Primates > Hominidae > Homo > Homo sapiens. Next base: position 130,101,084 of record NC_000004.12, read on the forward strand.
AAGTATAAATATGTCAGCATTGCTTTAATTATAACAAGCCTAGAGATTATCCTCAAGAGGGAAAAAGCATCAGATTCTTGAGGGTCTTTTATGCTATGATAAGGTACTTGCCTTGGGGCATTTTACAATGGAAAGCTATCAGACTGTGGACCCCTTGAAGGCAGGCAAATTCTCTTTATTTTTACTTTTTTTAAATCCCTTGAGCCCAGTTCAGTTTGTGGAACATAGATGACCTGCAGATATTTTTTTACTTTTGTTATTTGTTTTTAGTGGCTGAAGAAATGGATCACTAGAACAAGTGTTTTTATTGGAGTGATACATTAGGTGTACATCTGAAATCATTCCATTTGACAGTAAAATATAACATCTTGTAGGAAGTTTTAAACCTGGAAACAGACAAAACAAAACAAAAAACTAATAAAATATTCTTTGGGAGATATAAGATTGCCAATTAAGGCAGTGCCAGTGAGGTGGACAAAGGAAGATGGGTCTGTGACATATGAGAAAAAGAAAGACATGCTATTTGGTACTTTGTCGGAAATGGTGTCATAGAGAGAAAGTGAAATAGAGAGGAACTCAAGTTTTCTGACCTAAGTAACTGAATTGTTGGAAAAGTTGACAACTAATGTAGGAATTGCAAGGAAAAAGGGGGCTATGCAGAAAGAAAAGTTCAATTTAGATCATGGTTTAAAATGAGTAGTACTTATTCTATATCTGAACTCAAAATCAAGTGTTTATTTGGTCAGTCTGAATGGAAATCAGAAATTTGAATTTTTCCTTTTAGCTCCTGAAAACCCCCACTTCTGTTCAAATGTACCAATATGCAAGAGATAACATGGGTACTTTGAACCTCAATTATAATTTATAACTTAACTTAGTAGCTTCATGAATATGGGACTGGATAGCTACCTAAAGAGATCAGCTGGGTTTTCTGAAAATTGTCAGACTCTTCACTAGGTCAAGAAATGTAGAATCTTAACTTTTATGAATAAAATTAATTCAACAACCTCTCCACAGATGTGCTAGAAATAATTAGGCATCAACTGATTTCTTGCAGTGGTATCTGATTTGTTCATTTACTTTTCCACTTAATGTAGTTACTTTAGGAGTTCAACTTTATGCTCCTTAGACAGTTTCTCCTTGTGTTATATCTCTGTGGTTTGAACTACTTTGTAATTTCAGCAAAGGTACAAACCTATAAACAACTTTAGAGTACTTCTGTCAAGAGTGTGAAAGCATTGTGAAAATTCAAGGAGTGGATGAGAAAAGGACACAAAAGATTCAATAAAAGGATTAGAAGATAAAGTCTAGGAAAAAAAAGTGTTAAGTACTTTGAATAGACAGGAATAACTTCGAGTAACTTAGAAATGCATTGCTGGGGAATCAGAAGTGTTATTTCAGACAATATCAAAAAGAGAGGCTGCCACAAAAGCTCTGGCAGTTATTTTCTTTACTTTTATAAGGATTTGCTTGGATTCTGTTTTTACCAACATTATAATATCACATTAGAAACATTAGTCACACTTTATGGAGGCATTTATGGATAAAATATAGATATATTATTCTAATTTATATAGACATTTATAGCTAAAAACAAAAAAATGCTCAGTTACTAAAGAAGCCCAACGCAGAGCTGCATAACTTAAATTTGCATTATAATTTTCAATAAACATGAATTTTTGCATAGGAATAGACTTTGAATCAGTAGCAATTATATTTTATTTTTGCATATTTGTCTGAGAAATAGCATAATAAACTTAGATCTTAAAATTTCTATGAATAAAAACTCAAGCTTGTATGTTATAGCAGAATAGTAATAATCATCTCAATGACAACAAAAAAAGAATTTGGGATCTAGCAATAAACTTACTACAATGAGCTTGCTGCATTTAGAGAAATACTTCTGAGATTCAGGGGTTCCCATTTTTGTTGAAGCACTAAATATTTGAAAAAAAAAGATACCATTATCCTTCTTACCATCTACAGATTTGTGTATATGATTGTTAATAGAATGTATGGTCATATATCTAGTTATAAAGGAAATAAAACTTCTCTTAGATTTTTTCTTGCTATTAATATATATTTTTCTCTAATCATTTTCCTATAGCAATAGGAATTTTGTCTATTTTTGGTTGGCATTTCAGGCCCATTTGTGTATCAGCTGGACATTAAGGATATTTTTCCTTTAAAAATGCTCATATGCACAATATTTTGCTTAAGATTTAAGAGTGATCATAGAATCTCCTAAAGTGTAATTGTACAGTCAAAGTCAAGAATTTTTGAATTATAATTCCTTCTTTGTGCATTAGAACCCCTTTCATTAGCTTGTTCCTCTCTTTTACAGTTTTCAGGCATGTCATCTAGAATAGTCCTGTTACGGGTGTGCTCACTGAAGTGGATTTGGGATGTTATATGTTTATTCATGTTGTTTTAGCTCATAACATTTCATAGAATCCTCTGAGATCAATTTTAAAGATGATGTAAGTTAAAAAGTCTTCCACACATTCTTCTTAGAATGCCCTCCATGCCAAATAAAATTAAAAAAAACAACAACAACAAGATAAATCATTGTAACAAACATGTTCTGGAAAATTCTTTGGAACATCTTACCACAAGGACTTTAATATCCAAAACAGACCATTGATTTGTCCATTCAGCCCAACAGAAAAACAATAGATAAAGTCCCAAAGAGCAGGAGGAGCCTGGCACAGTTAAGGAACAGAAAGAATAACTAGCATGGCTTAAACATAAGAGGCAAATCCAATAGTGTTTTGAGAACATATTACAAAAGTAGGCAGAGCCAGATCATGTGGGGCTTTATAAATCAGCATAAGAAGTCTGCAATCTGAAAAGACAGTGGAAAGTTTTAAGCCAAGAGATAAAGTGGAATAGGAAACTAAACATTTTGAAAATATCACTCTGGCTTCTGATGGTGAAGGATGGCAGAAAGGCAAATAATGAAGAAGAGAGACAAGTTAAGAGCCTGGTCTTGTTTTGGTTAAGGGAGAAATGATGACAGCATACTCCAAGCTATGATGAGGTTATTGGAAATGAAGAGAATGTATATAATTGAAATGTGATCACTGTTAGAGTTTAAACAAATATTACCAATGAATTAAAAGTTGGGACCAAGGGAAAAATCCTTGGTTAATGACTTGAGCAGTTGCATATATGCATGTCATTTTTAAGATACCAATAGCTTGCATAATAGTAGAATGAATTTACATGCCTATGACACATTGAAGTTGAGATGTCAAGTAGGCAGTTGAATATATTAGTATCATTTCTTCAGAGACCAGGAATAAAGCCATTGATAAGGAACAATTACCTTGTTGATATTAAAAATCACAAAACCTTTTATAGAAGATTTAAATATTAAAAATGTAACACATGCCTTTTTTACAATTTTCCTTCTAATTTTATATTATACTAATTTTCTATACTAATAAATACAGATATACCATATAAATGACTGCTTAATACATAGCCATGTAAATGTGTAAAACCGACCTTTGCCAATCACTTCTTTTAAAAAAAAAAGAATACATTTTTAAACTATTAAAAGCAAAAATATTGAAAATAAATGATTTTAATTTCTTCCAAACTAACAGATAAATTTGTATTCATCATGTACAACATGATGTTGTGACGTATAATATATATTCCTTGTTGAATGGTTAAATGTAGATAATTAACATATGCATTACCTCACATAGTTATCGTTTTTGTGGTGAGAACACTTATTCATACACTCTGTAAGCATTTTTCAATATTACGATATATTGTCATTATAGTTACCATGCTGTACAATAGATCTCTTGAACTTATTCTTCCTATCTAGCTATAGTTTTGTATCATTTGACCAACTCAATATCAAAAATACAAATAACCCAATTTAAAAATGCACAAAAGACCTGAATATATATTTATAAAAATAAGACATGCAAATGACCAAAAGGTGTGTGAGAAAATGTTCAGCATCACTAATTATCAGCGACATGCACATCAAAACCACAATGAGATATCACCTCACTCTTGTTAGAATGGCTATTATCAAAAAGACAAATTATAACAAATGTTGGTGAGGATATAGAGAAAAGAGAACCCTTGAACACTGCTGGTGGAAATGTAAATCAGTGCACCCATTATCCTCATCCCTTCAAGTACCCCAGCCTCTTGTGACCACCATTTTACTCTCTAATTCTATGAGATAAATTTTTTTCAGATTCCACGTATGAATGACATCATGTGTTATTTGTCTTTCTGTGCCTGACTTATTTCACTTAACATAGTGCCGTCCAGGTTCATCCATGTTGTCAAAAATGAAAGGATTTTCTTTAGTATAGCTGAATGGTATTCCATTGTGTATGGATAGCACATTTTCTTTATCCATTCATTCATTTAAGGACACTTAGTTTGATTCCATATCCTGTCTGTTGTGAATAGTGCTGCAACAAACACTGGAATACAGATATCTCTTTGAGATACTGGTTTTATCTGCTTTAGATATATACCCAATAGTGGGATTGCTGGATCATATGGTTTCAGTTATATTTTTAGTTGTTTTTTAAGGAGACTTCATACTGTTTCCATAATGGGTGCACTGATTTACATTTCCACCAACAGTGTTCAAGGGTTCTTTTTTCTGCATATCCTCACCAACATTTGTTATAATTTGTCTTTTTGATAATAGCATTCTAACAAGAGTGAGGTGATATCTCATTGTGGTTTTGACGTACATTTCACTGATAATTAGTGATGCTGAACATTTTCCCACACAACTTTTGGTCATTTGTTTGTTTTATTTTTATAAATATATATTCAGGTCTTTTGTGCATTTTTAAACTGGGTTATTTGTATTTTTGATATTGAGTTGTTTGATTTCCTTACATATATTTTGGACTTAACCTCTTATCAGATATATAATTTGCAAATATTTTCTCCATTTTTGTAAACTATTCCTTCACTCTGTTGATTGTTTACTTTACAATGGAAAAGTTTCTTAGTTTGATGTAATTCCATATGTCTATTTTTGCTTTTGTTGTCTTTGCTTTTGAGGTCATATAAAACAAACAAACAAACAAAAATATTGCCCAGATTCATGTCATGGAGCTTTTCTCCTGTTTTCTTCTAGTAGTTTCATAGTTTTCAGTCTTACATTTAAGTTTTTAATCTATTTTGAGTTGATTTTTGTATATAGTTAATATAAGGATCTAATGTCATTAGTCTGCATGTTGATATCCAGTTGTCCCAATACCGTTTATTGATGAGATATCCTTTTCCCATTACGTGTTCTTGGCACCTCTGTCAATAATCAATTGACCATAGATGTGTGGATTTATTCCTGGGTTCTTCTGTTCCATTTCTCATTGCTCAATATGTTTTGTTTTGTTTTGTTTTGTTTTTTATGAGATGATGTCTCACTCTATTGCCCAGGCTGGATTGCAGTGATGTGATCTTGGCTCACTGCAACCTCTGCCTCCCGGGCTTGAGTGATTCTCCTGCCTCAGCGTCCCAAGTAGCTGGGATTACAGGCATGCGCCACCACGCCCAGCTAATTTTTGTATTTTTGGTAGAAATGGGGTTTCATCATGTGGTTAGGCTGGTCTTGAACTCCTGACCTCAGGTGATCCACCCACCTTGGCCTCCCGAAGTGCTGGGGTTACCAGCATGAGCCACTGCTCTGGGCCAATAAGTCTATTTTTAATGCCAGTACCATGCTGTTTTATTTTATTTTTATTTTTTATTTTGTTTATTTATTTTTTACCATAGCTTTGTAGTGTATTTTGAACTCAGATAGTGTAATGTTTGCTCAGGATTCTTTTGGCTATTTAGATTGTTTGTGTTTCCATATGAATGTTAGATTTTTTCCCCCTTTTTGTAAAGAATGTCATTGGTGTTTTGATAGTGTTTACATTGCTTTCAGTAGTATGGGCATTTTAACAACATTAATTCTTCCAATCCATGAACACAGAATATCTTTCCATTTATTTGTGTCTTCTTCAATTCCCTTCATCAGTGTTTCATAGTTTTCAGTTTAGAGATCATTTACCTTCTGGTTAAATTTATTCCTAAATATTTTAATTTTTCTATGTAATTGGAATTATTTTACTGATCTTTCTTTCAGATATTTTGCTGTTAGTATATAGAAATGTTATTGCCTTTTTTGTATGTTGATTTTGTATCCTGTGAGTTTACTGAATTTTTTTGTTAGTTGTGACATGTTTTGGTGGAGTCTTTGGGGTTTTCTATATAAAAGATCATGTTGTCGGCTGGGCGTGGTGGCTCACACCTGTAATCCCAGCATTTTGGGAAGCCGAGGTGGGCAGATCACAAGGTCAGGATATCGAGACCATCCTGGCTCACACGGTGAAATACTGTCTCTTAGTCTCTACTGAAAATACAAAAAAAAAAAACAAAAAAAAAAACAAAACTAGGCTGGCATGGTGGCGGGGTGCCTGTAGTCCCAGCTGCTCTGGAGGCTGACAGGCAGGAGAATGGCGTGAACCTGGGAGGCGGAGCTTGCAGTGAGCCGAGTTCGTGCCACTGCACTCCAGCCTGGGCGACAGAGCGATACTCCATCTCAAAAAAAAAAAGATCGTGTTGTCTTCATTGTTGTCTGCATACCAGGACAATTTGACTTCTTCCTTTCTAATTTGGATGTCTTTTATTTTTTTCTCCCGTTTAATTGCTCTGGCTAAGACTTCCAGTACTATATAAAAATAGATTTAAAGCCAAATTTTGCTCAGAGCCTAGTTAATTTTTAGGTTATTTTTGTATGTTGTATATTACTTTTTCCAAATTAAAGCCAACAAACAAAGATCAATGATAATTTGGGACAGAATATTTTCATTTTCTAAATTTTCTAATCCTCTTAGTTTCACCCAGCTCTGTGTAGCCTGAAGAAAATGGTGTCAAGGATCTAAAGTCTCACATTCTCTCTTCTAGATGACAAAATAATCTAAATCTAAAATAGAACATTCACTTTAAAAAGTGGTTTTGGAACATTTGGGCAGGTCTTGTGTCCTTTGTAGTCTAGATGACGCCTGCTACTCTTGGTTGATTTTGAGATAACAAATAAATAGAGCTGTCCCAACATGTTTTTATAAGATTTTTTATTGCATTGAATTATTTACTCTTTTAATTTGATCTATAGTCTGTTTAGTTTCAAAATATAGGATTAGCAATATCATAGATACAATAATGGAAGAAAATTAAAATGTTTTACACCATAAATATTATAAATATACTATTTGAGAAAATATGCTTTTTGCTAAGATTAATATAATATAAGCAATTCCTGAAGGGTTTTATGTATCTCTCAGTCTCATTTCTTCTCCATTTCCTTACATTAAAAACTTCTTAAGTGTTAAATATATAAAAGTGCAAATATTAAGAGATAGCCTTTAAGTAACATCAATTTGCCACTTTAGAATTTTTAAACGACTGTTTTCTATTAACTTGAGATCTGCCACCCACCCTCCTCGCAGCTTGCCCTCTCCCTCCTCTTTGTTTTCTCCTCTCTCCCCTTCATTTATTTGTATTCTTTGTGTATTTTCCTAAAAACTATGATTCACACAGTAGATTCATATAGAGGAAGAGTGGACCTAAAATATGTCTGTTTATTTAGGGAAGTTTTGCTGTGGTAAAATTTATTATAAAAATGTCATCCAAAACTTTAGTCCTTGTTCTGCAAACCCCCTGATAAAGGCAGTGTCATCAACTTCTAGTGGTTCCCTGAGTTGGGCAATTGTATTGCCAGCTTGTTCACATGTTCTAGAATCTCCTTTCCTTTATGGTCTTGGGTTAGCACTGGACAAAAGTACACATTACCCAAAGTTAGGAGGCAAAAGCAATACAACAGCCATAAATCTCTAATGGTTTTCAGAGAGGTACAGTAAAAGACACAGAAGTGTCCAGTGGGTTGATGCTTGTCCTGGCTGTTCTCTGTTTTGCCTCCAGGTTTTCTTTCTGACTGTCAGCCTCACTGACCACAGCCACCTCTGTCTCACATGGCTGTGGGCCCACAGGACCAAGAGGTACACAGAGGCAACAACTTTCCCCTTTGCTGCTGAACTGGATGGTTTTTGTCTCACTTCCCAGATTTCTTTAAAGATTCTACTTATCCACTTATGCATGGCCTTCAGAAGGTTGATTTTAACTTTTCTCTGATTGTCTAACTCCCCCTCCAGATCCATTTCCTCTCATAATAGCATCTCACTTCTATTATAAAACTTATTTTATAGTAATAGAATGGTCTACTTCTCTGAATGATACATTTACAGAAGTAAATGTTTTCCTTCTTTTAAGTTATTAAAGTGTTAGCTGGGGCATGTAGCTCCTTACTGGAGACTACGTTTTATAGTGTCACTTGCAACTAGGTACTACAATTGTTTTTTTTTGTTGTTGTTTGTTTGTTTTTCTATGAGCAACAATGTACGCAATTTCCTTCTTATTTACTTAAAAGAAAATTGACTTGAGCTCCACATTCTCTTCCTTCTGTCCAATGGGATGGACTATCATATATGAAAACCCAATTTAACCACGTAAATGAGGATTGTTATTAATGGGTAGTAAAAAAAGAAAGAATGTACTCAGACTATTGAATGGTCTTTGGAGTCAAGCTATCCTGCCAGCCTGGATCTCTCACTTCTAGCATGTTATGTGAACACATATAAAACTCTTGTCATATTTCAGTTATTGCAAATTCTCTTAGCTAAAGAAAGTTAGCCATACACTGAATACTGCAGGCAATGTTACCAAAACCTTGTGATTTTCATGGCTTTTCTGTGGAGACCCTCAATGTACTTCTGTTGCTACTTTCCCCCACACTCCTACTTACAGGCATGTACACACACATACACACACATACACTTAGAGATGAACCCACACGCATACCAAGTATAAAGTAAAGTAATATAGTATAGATGGCAGATGGAGGCAGAGGTTATGTTAGAACCAGGTAGGCATGAACCAGACATTTTGCCTCAGGGCTTTGGTTGGTTGTGTTCAATGAAATAAGCTATTTGACCAAGATTTAAGTTTCTCCAGGAAACCCCACTTGCATAGGATTTCCTTGATCATTCTGGAGGAGACTAGTATTAGAAAAGTATTTTTAAAATATTGTACTATTTATAAGCATGCTTTGCATTCATAACTCAGTTTTTATAACCTTGATTATGCAAATACTTATTGTTCCTTTCTATTTGGTTTAAAATTTAGAAGAACCACCTGCCTGCAAAAGAGAACAAATGTCAATTCAAGTTTGGGTTAAGGCCAACTTTCACAAGTCACAAACTTGCTGGCAGCAAATTTAGCAACAGAAAGTACATTCTAGAGCATGAAAGATCTGCCACATCTATCTTTAGTATGAACACCCAGTGTCTGTACTATCTATAGATATAGTAGTGGGAGAAAAAATAACAAAGGATACAATTTCAAAAAATAAAGAATGGGGTAATGTGGGAAATCAGGAGTTACACTAAACAAATATTTGGCAATATGTAGTTTTACAGGTTGAAGTAATATGCAAAAATCAGTATTATTACTACTTCTGTAAAATGGTTGAATAGTCATAAAGTATGCCTGTTTATGGTAGGAAAGCCGTGTGCAATATAGGATTGATGCTTGTAAAGAGACAAGAATAAGATGAGACAAGAATAAGATAAGACAATGAAACAGGTCCACAAGCATGAGACAAAATATACTCCAGATTAAATAGGCTTGAAACACTAGAATGCACTAAGTGATTAAAATAATTAAAATGGAGCAATTGAGATGTAAAGATGAAGGTGAATGCTTTTAGTGAAAGCATTGTAGCATTCATTCTCCCAGTCGAGGATGCATAGCAGTCTCTGTCCTGAGAGAAAAGGAGCTAGATGCCAAGCTTTCACCCAGGGCTGCCTAGCAACTAGCTCTTCTAGGGAGGGCAGTGCATAAGTTAATCTCTTTGGTAAGCATTTGTAGCTATTAATTTAATTAGCAAAGGCACTGTAGCATGAATCATCCTGGTACAAGAGAAAAATATTAATGAAGATCTGAAATTCTAACTTCAAATAGGCACATTGAAGACTGTTCCCAAGTCATAGTGGGCTAGGGGAAACTTACTAAAGAAAAAAAAAGTAATGCAGAAAACTTTCTCCCTTGCAATCAGGTTCTGTGGGGTTTCTTGAAGAGACTACAACTTAAATTTGCTTTCACGATTCTCATTGCAGAGGAACTTATTGTTTAGCTTTGAAAGTAGAGACTGAGAGAGGTTTTTCTAACACTAAAATTCTATGAATTGTGAATACCTGCTCAATATCCCAGTTTTAATTGTACTTTTCCTTAGAAAATCCATGGATTTGCCAACATAACTGTCTTTAAGGCAAATTGTATTGGATACCTTTCAAAGGCTATTAATGCTTCTCTTGTTACTGAGTTAGAAGGACAACTGTTCAGTGATAACAAGAAATGTTGTATGGTTTTGACTCAGAGGCTTGAGTGTTCTATCCCCACAAGGCTCCTGCCCAGACCTCTCCATTTCAATTTAATAAAAGACAGTTGCATTTTACATGTTTCCGGAAGTCAAGTTCCACCAAAGGCGGATCACCTAGCATTTTATGTACTTTTGAACAACTTTTTCCTCTGGCAAAATGCTTTAATGGGGTACTAGATCTTGACATTGAAAATAATACTGTGTGATAAAGCTTCAATGCTGTTACAAGCTTTAACGAAGATACACTGGAAAAAAATTGTAACCTCCCAAGTCCTTGTTTTGTTCCTCTTTCATTCTTTTCTAATAGAAGAATGGAATTCAACAATATTCTAGTTTCTGCAAAGTAAAACAGTAATTTGCTCATTTTTTCCTGGCTACTGCTGTGAAAATGATGCCTTTTCATTTTATAAGAGAATCTGAAGTTAGAAATTAGTTCTGTAGGATATTTGTGAACTGATTATCCATGAGGTCAAAGATGTTAAATGCCTGGAGAAAAATTGTAAGTCAAAAGAAAAGGGAAAACGACCATTACAGTAGCAGAGATGGTTATTTAAAATCATAAAGTCAATGTGTGATCTATGAAATGTAACTTTCCCATGGGCAGTAGGGAAATGTGTGTCTGTGTTTTTGTATGTGTATATGTGTGTCTGTCATAATTCCTAACCCTTCAAATATGTTTAATAGGATGTACACTTACAAAAATAAAGTTGTTTTACTAGAACTAACTCATCTGGCTTCAAATATTTACTTAACCACCATACCTAAGAAAAGAAATAGAAACATAGAGGCAAACAATCCAATGTTTCTCAGGTACTTGTTTGGCTAAAAGAACAATCAAATTAACTCATTTTTTTTTGAAATTATGAAACCAAAATAAAATTCTTACATAGAGATGGTTGGGTCAGACTATTTAATATATTAGTTCTCAAAGTGTGTTCTTGGATGAGAAGTACCAGTATCACCTGGGAAATAGCTGAAATGCAAATTATTAGGCTCTTCTCCATACTTAAGGAATCAGAAATCCTGGGATTGGGACCTACCTAGTAATTTGTGCTTTAAGAAGCTCTCCAGGTGTTTCTGACACATGTTAAATTTGGAGAAGCACAGCTTTTTATTTGCCTCGTGATAAATACCATTCATCATGGCAATAACATTTTCTTTCCCCTCATTTTCTGGCAACTATCATAAATATAATAACATTGTTACTTTACATAAATTTTATTTAAAATATATTTTAAAACACTCTTCTTTTATTTTTCTATTAGTGGGAGATAAAAAAATTCATAATATTTCCACATATTTCACAAGATACAATAAAAAATGTAAGAAAATAGGACAGAGAAACCAACACTTAGATATAACCCATAAACAACATTTTGTTAAATAATTTTCTGTGTGTCTATAAATCCATATCTATAATCATGATCCATGGTGTTTTGGGTGGGAGAAAGCTTTTATTTTATTTCTTTTGCCAAAATATGAATTACATATTGTTTCAGTGGACTTTTGCTGGGTTAATGTGTAAACTGAACAAATTTCAAACTCTCGATGGCATACAACATTCAAATTGTTGCTGTTTTTCCTTGTATTATGGCAGCAATTCAGGGTCTTTGTTGCTGGCCTGAATTCCACGAACATCCTTATATTAGGACCCAGGCTGAAGAATCTGCCCCTGTCTGTCAAAGGTAGACATACAAACTGATCCACAAAACCCATGTAAAGATTTGCTCAGAAGTGGTACATACCATATACAATCCCATTCCACTGACTATAGCAAGTCTCAAGAGCACAGCTGACAATAGAACCAGAATGAACCCTGCCCTGTGGAAAAGCGCAGCAAGCCACAGGACAGGAGCCGAAAGCATAAGACCCATAGCAGGAAGGAAGTTGGTTCTTGGGAACAACACAGTTTGCCACAAGTATTCGTTCTCTTCTGTTCTTTTCTGGCACATCGAATGTCATTATTGTCTTTGTACTTCTACTATCATACACACATCATTTTAGTTTCCTCACCACTCTATTTCCTCCCCTGAGGACTTCCACTCAAGCTTCTTTCACAGACTGAATTGCTTTCTCCTCTTCTTCACCATCAAATCACTGCTGTCTTCCTGCAGACCATCCCTACCTCCAGGTCACTTCATCTCTTCCAGTCATATGTTTGAGAATTTACTTGCATGTGGTGGCTATTACAATTAGTGAGTCATGATTATAATTCTGATTATAATGCATAATGATTATTCATTTAATGTTTTATTCCAAAAGTAGTTTCTAAGTTCCGTAGAGAAAGGAAAGCGGATGATTTTTCTGGTCATTGTATCTCTAAACAAAGTGTGGGTAAAATAGTAGCTCCATAAATATTAACTAAAAGACTGAAATTTTCTAATTTTTACCTTTTGCAATATTTTTTATTTATTTATTTTTTTGAGCAAGACAACTGTCTTGCTCGTCGCCAGGCTGGAATGCAGTGGTGTGATCTCGGCTCACTGCAACCTCCACCTCCTGGGTTCAAGCGATTCCCCTACCTCAGCCTCCCGAGTAGCTGGGACTACAGGCACACGCCACCACGCCCGGCTAATTTTTTTGTATTTCAGTAGAGACGGGGTTTCACCATGTTGGCCAGGATGGTCTTAATCTCCTGACCTTGTGATCCATCCGCCTCAGCCTCCCAAAGTGCTGGGATTACAGGCATGAGCCACTGCGCCCGGCCTGCAATATTTTTATTTCTTCTCGTTTGTTATGATTGAGGAGATATATAACATGTTTATTTTATTCATTACACTTATAACTTTAAATAACACAATTGAATCCATCTTTATTAATTTATTAACTGCATATCAGAAGCAAAATGTTTTATTCCTTATATAAAAATCAAAATAAATTGTCCCCTTACACACCCTCTTCCAATTATCTTTCCAGATGTTTGTGGTCTGTTTTGTGATGTTTTTCTTAATGCATTTTGTTATTTTTATTACATGGTCTTTTATTCAAGAACTTTGAAATCTACATCCTGTATTACACATATAATTACTAAATATTTTTGGGCTTAGTTCTTTGTTTACAAAGACTGGATACCTGCTGTTTGTCTTTTACAGCACATGTCCCTATTTGTGTCTTCTTTATTTTGGGGTATTTCTGGGTTAGTACTTAGTTGCAGTAATAAATAGAGCTTGTGGGAAGGGTATATATAGAATTCCTGAGTCCTCAAATTCACAAAAATGTCCTTGTATTAATTATACAATTGAATTATAACATCATTTGTGTAGAATGAAATTGAAGCATATTATCTTTCACCCAAATTATTGACACATGTATCTTTTTTTTAGTTGGTTGTTGTTAAAATGCTTTGTAACATTGGGGCTAATGCAGAGGTCTTTATTTAAAATCCCAACCCTTCTAAAGTCTGCCTGGTTGCTATTGAGTAAATTCCTGGGACTCATATTTGACCCAAAGCCTCTCTTTCATGCCATATACGAGTTACAAATTATTTATAATTGCTCTTAGAAAAGCTCAAAATCTTCAACACAGCCTACACATGATCTGATCCCACTAGATTCTCCTGCTCAAATTTGCCATGAGCAAACATAAACATTTCTGTCCCTAGCTGCTTAAACAAGAGGAGATATATTACTTTTAACCAAAATATTTCTGTAACAAGGATACTGTTTTCATCAGACCAAACTAAGGTCTAAGAAGTTCAATACGATAGAAAGTCCCTAAACTAATGATGCCTCATTTCTTACTACCACTCTTTCAACATTGGTCTGGGAACAACTGTCAGTGTCCAAGATAGAAAGGAAATCAAAGATTGTTGTTCTGCTGTTGAGGTGCCATGTGAATCAAATCCTAACCCCAGTGGCTCCAACTCATCTTTTTTATGTGTTAATTTTATACTTTCTCTAAATCTAGAGGCTGACACTCAAAAATGCTCCTCTCTTTCTACCTATTGTGCTGTCCGGGATGTTGCTGACATCACTTCAGTAACTGGCAGGCAAAAAAGAAGCAGTAAAACTATCTACAGACTGGGTTTCACAGAGCTTCAGGAAGTTTGGGATTGGCTGCTAATGTTTCAGCATTAGTTAATGTCACCATTTGTAATGGGAACCAGAAGCATAGCAGGATTTTGAGTTGGCATGTATCATAAAAGAATAGAGAGGCTAGAAAAATGAAAATATAGTCCTGCTTCATAACATCTACTGAAATAATATCCCTCTATGCTTTCTTATTTTAAAGCAAATTTATTATTTACTCATATTCCTTTACTTATTTTTCTATAGTAATTGACAAAAATTTAGTTTTGTATTGTCACAGAAAAGGCGAGAATAAGTTAGTTTTTCCATCAATGGATGTAGGCTACTTTTAGCATTCCATTATAACTTTAAATCTGGAAGAAAAAGTTGTTTCTCTGGGTACCAAAGTGCATTACTAAGGCTAAATCCCAGGTAGTATGGTGTCCTTGACATTCATTAACATGAATATTGTGTATGTATGTATATGTATATATACATGTTTTTATATATATATATATATATGTGTGTGTGTGTGTGTGTGTGTGTGCACCTGTGTGTTATCAATGCAAATAACTTTGTCAAATCACTATAAAAAAACTTGACTTAAAATGGCTAAAGTAAAGACACTTTTATCTCACAGAACCCACAGTCTGTAAGTAAGATAGGTCTAAGCTCTAGCTCCATTTATCTGATCTTCCAACTCCTTTTCCCTCATTGGTATGCACTTTGTTTCATTTTATTTCCTCAGACGACCTTTTCTCATGGTCATAAGATGGTTGTCAGTGGTAAACAAGGCAATGAGCTCCCTGGTTCATTTCCAGTACAAGTAAAAGAAAATTCTGTCCCAGAAACAATAGAATATAATATTCTTTCATTCAGTCTCATTGGTCCAAATTAGGTGAAATACTAATATCATCAGAACTCATAACCATCATCAGAAAGTAATATACATTGATTGATGTAAGAAAAGATTCCCTAACCAATTTCTGACGAAAGAGCTAAGACATCTATGATTGATGTAAACTAATACAAGCCCACTCCTGGTGTTGGGTTAAGGATCAGCTTCTACTGAGTCACATGGTCTACTTGGGAGCTGGTGGCTTCTGAAGAAAACTGGGATTTTAGGAAAGATTGGTCACCATAAAAACAATAGACAATCTCTTCTTAAAGAAAAACCTATGTCTCATTTGAAAGAGTTCTGAGAACAGCCAGGTGAGAAGCAGATGAGAAGTTTATTTTCTAGTATCTTATAGAATATTGGTTAGACTGTACCTAAGAAAGCCTCTGTAATGGCACAGCTCTGACTTCTAAACTTAAATCCATTTCTACTTGCTTGGTTGAGTTTGGCCACATTACTTTTCTGTAAAATGGGGAAATGATATTACTTACCAAATAAGAATTTATTTTTCTTTCATTAATTACTTAAGTGAGATAATTCATGGCCCTGGCAATAAATGTTGACTTTATTTTTGCTATTATTAATTTTTTCTTAAAATTTAGAAATGTCATTTGAATAAGTTGTTTCCTGATCACATTCCATTAAATTTCCTACAATGTTTTAACCAACTCCTTGGGTAGTTCAGCTCCTTCTTCATTTTAGGAAATTTTTTTTTTCCTCTTTTATTTTAAATTTGAAATATTTTTTATGCTATATTTGCACTACTCTCTTCTTCAGAGACATGATCATCTCTGTGTGTTGTATTCTACAATTTGATTTCCACATCTGTCATTTTGTTTCTAATCATTCATCTTTTTATTATTTTTGTTTGCATTACTTTGATTTTCTTAACCTTATTCTGCACATAACTGATTTGGTTTTGTGTGTGGCCAATTTTAATCCTCACTGTTTTTAATATGTTGTTTGATTGAGAGATGATATTGTTTTGCTTTTTCATTTTTTTTTCCTGACAACTTCTTTTACATTTTCTTCTGTTGTTTTAGCACCTCACCATTGAAAACTCATTTCATTAAATTAATGTTTTTTAAAATTATTATTTCTTGACATTGTTAAGAAGTTGGCTACACTTGTTTTGGATTTCGGTGGTTAATCAATTTCCAAAATGGGATCTTTATCTGTTTTTCTGTTTTGTTTTTGTTTTTTGTTTTTTAGACAAGGTGTTGCTCTGGCACCCAGGCAGGAGTGCAGTGGTGCAGTCATGGCTCACTGCAACCTCTGCCTCCCAGGTTCAAGTGATCCTCCCACCTCAGCCTCGTGAATAGCCGGAACTACAGGTGTGTGCCACCACACCTAGCTAATTTTTGTGTTTTATTTTTTAGTAGAGAGAGGGTTTCACCACGTTGCCCAAAATGGTCTCAAACTCCTGGACTCAAGCAATCCACCCACCTTGAGCCACCATGCCCTGCTTGTATTTGTTGTATGAAGCGCCTCTTTGTATTTATATACTGTTCTATATGCCTTATCAAATTAGTCTTACTTGTTTTCTCCTTGCATGTTTATCTTTGACTGATGAGAGTATGGGTTTTTTGGTTTCTAGTTAGTGTGAATGAATTATCTATGACCTTGTTTAGGTGGATGAATTTTAAAATCTGGTTTTGAATTGAACTTGAAAGCTTGAGGACCTGATGTACCTGGTTGTTATTTTTTTTTTCTTAATTCTGCACCAGGAAGTACCCTACCTAATTTGATGAGTATCTGTCTTGTTAACTTTTCATGTAACACACAATTCACGATTAACCAGTCAGCTATGAGCACATCTACGTGCACAAACTAGAAAACTTAGAGAAAATGGATAAATTCCTAGAAACTCACAAGTCCCCAAGATTGAACCAGGAAGAAATAGAAATTCTGAACAGACCGATAACATGTAATGAAATTGAATCAGTAATAATAATAAAAAATCACTACCAACAAAAAAGCCCAGAATGAGATAGATTCAGAGCAAAATTTTACTAGAGTTACAAAGAAGAGCTAGTACTAATCTTATGTAAACTATACCAAAAAATTGAAGAGGAGAGATTCCTCCCTAACTCATTCTATGAAACCAGTATCACTCTGATAGCAAAATGAGACAAGGACACAGCCATAAAAGAAAACAACAGGCCAATATTCCTGATTAACATAGATACAAATATCCTCAAGGAAATACTAGCAAACTGAATCCAATAGCACATCAAAAACATAATGCATCATGATCAGGTGGGTTTTATACTAGGGAAGGAAGGATGGTTCAACATATGCAAATCAATAAATGTGAATCACCACATAAACAAAATGAAAAACAAAAAAAGTATAATCGTCTCAATAGATGCAAGAAAAGCATTCAATAAAATCTAACATCCCTTCATGATAAAACCCTTAACAAATTAGGCATTGAAAGAACATATCCCAAAATGATAAGCCATATATGTAGGACAAACCCACAACCAACATCATACTGAATGGAGAAGAGTTGAAAGCTTTACCCCTAAGAACTGGAACAAGACAAGGATGTCCATTCTCACCACTCGTATTCAACATAGAAAATAGTACTGGAAGTCCTAACCAGAGCAATCAGGAAAGAGAAACAAATAAAAGGCATCCCAAATGGAAAGAGGAAGTCAAATTATCTCTATTTACTGATAACATGATCTTATACCTGGAATACTCTAAAGACTCCTCCAAGAGATGTCCAGACTTAATAAGTGACTTCAGTAAAGTTTCAGGATACAAAATCAATGTAAAAAAATCAATAGCATTTCAATTAACTAATAACGTTCAAACAGAACCATGTCAAAAACTCAATCCCATTTACAATAACAAAAACAAAAAAAGGTTAGGAATACATTTAACTAAATATGTGAAAGATCTCTATAAAGGGAACTACAAAACACTTGTGAAAGAAATAATAGATAACACAAATAGAAAAACATCACATCTTAATGGATGGGAATTGTTAAAATGACCATACTTCTCAAAGCAGTATACAGATACATCACAATTCCTATCAAATTAGCAATGCCATTTTTCATAGAATTAGGAAAAAATATCCTAAAATTCATACGGAACCAAAAAAGAACTTGAATAGTCATAACCAAAGCAATTCTAAGCAAAAAGAAAAAACTAGAGGCATCAGATTTTCTGACCTCAGATTACACTACGAGGCTAGGGTAACTAAAAACAGCATGATACTGGTACAAAAATAGACACATAGATCAATGGAATAGATAATGCAGAAATAAAGCTACATTCCTACAATGAACTGATCATCAACAAAGCTTAAAAATATATAAATATTGAAAATACAAAAATTGAAAAGGACATGCCATTTAATGAATTGTTCTGGGAAAATTGGATTGCCATATGTACAAGAATGAAAGTAATCTCACCATATACAAAATTAAATATTAAGACCTGAAACTATAAAAATCTCAGAAGAAAATCTAGGAAAAACTCTTGTGGACATCAGCCTACACAAAGAATTTATAACTAAGAACTCAAAAGCAAATGCAACAAAAATGAAAATAGACAAATGGAACTCAGTTAAATAAAAAGTTTCTGCACAGCAAAAGATATAATTAACAGAGTAAACAGACAGCCTACAAAATGGAAGAAAATATTTGCAAACTGTGCATCCCAAAAATACCTAATATCCAGAATCCACAAGGAACTCAAAGAGCTCAACAAGAAAAAAACAAACCCATTAAAAGTGGGCAAAGGACATGAACAGACATTTCTTGGAAGAAGAAGACATATATGCAGCAAACACATGACAAAATGCTCCGCATGACTAATCATCAAAAAAATGCAAATTAAAACCACAGTGAGAATCATCTTACACCAGTCAGAATGGCTTTTATTAAAAAGTCAAAAAATAACAGCTGTTGGTGAGGATGCAGAGAAAAGGGAACACTTATGCTGTTGGTGGGAATGTAAAATAGTACAACTCCTATTTGGAGATTTCTCAAAGAACTAAAAATGGAACTACCATTTGACCCACCAACACCATTACTAGGTATCTATCCAAAGGAAAATAAATTGTTAAATCAAAAAGACAACTGTACTTGTATGTTTATTGCTGCACTTCTCACAGTAGCAAAGTCATGGACTCGATCTAAGTGTTCATCAACACATGATTAGATAAAGAAAATTGTGTGTGTGTGTGTGTGTGTGTGTGTATATATGTATATATATATGCCCTGGAATACTACTCAGCCATAAAAAAGAATGAAATCATGTATTTTGCAACATGAATGGAGCTGGAGGTCATCCTTCCAAGAAAAATAACTCAGAAACAGAGTCAAGTACCACATGTTCTCACTTATAAGTGGGAGCTAAACAGTGAGTACACATGGACACAGTGGGAAATAACAGATATTGGGGACTTCAAGAGGGAGGTGGGTGGGAAGGAAGGTGGAGGGCTGACAAATTACTTACTGGGTCAATGTTCACTATTCAGGTGATAGGAACAGTAGAGGCTCAAACCTCACCGTTATGCAATAGATTCACATAACAGACCTTCACAGGTACACCCTGCATGTATAAAAATAAAAAATTAAATAAAAACAATAAATGCAAGAGCAAGAAATGGTGCAGTATAGAACTCCAAAAATTTATAACTCCACTAATACAACAGTTAGCCTATGAAAATTGTCACAGTCAACTTTGGGGAAACTACAGAATACAATAAATACCAAACAATAACCATGGTGTGCTTACTGCAGAAAAATGCTACTGAATCTTGTTAAGAAAATTTTATTACATTATTTCTGACTTCCTAAAGAATTCCCCATTTCTCAGCTTAGATATGGGCAATTGAGCAGTGGCTCAGATTTCTGCTGTGGCTTCCTGGTGCCATAAATGTAAATAAAGATCTTGTCTCTCTCTCTCTCTGTATGTATGTATACACACACACACACACACACACACACACACACACACATATACTTACATACACATATAAATATATGTGTATATATTTTTATATATACATATAACTCAGTCATTATAGTATAAACCTCTTGTTAATAGACTCATGTTGTAAGTGGTTGCCATTTAAACAAGGTACTAACTTTTATTTTGTTTTTGCTGCTGCCATTTTATCTGCCACCACTACACTTTGGAAATAATTCCCTGCCTTTATTTTATCTTTTGTTGGGACAAAATGGGAAAATGTTGCATTTTAGTAGCTCTTCTCATTCAACTATTGGGTATTACTTATTTCCAGTGGAAATAAAAGGTATTTTGGAGGATATTTAGTTTATTCTTATTTCATTTTTCCCAAATTATTTATGATTTGATGTCTCATATCTATTAGGAATATTCAGAGAAACATAACAGAATACTGATGAACAATAGCTTGAGCAACTGAATTTTATTATTACTTGATAACAGATATTTCAGAGGAACGCTGATTAGTATATCTGCTAAATGATGTCACGGCTGACACCTCTTCCTTCTCTTGATCTTTCCCTCATGACTAGAAGATGCCATCACAGCTCCAACAGAAAATTAGAATTTTCGGGAGGCGGAGCTTGCAGTGAGCCGAGATCGCGCCACTGCACTCCAGCCTGGGCGACAGAGCGAGACTCCGTCTCAAAAAAAAAAAAAAAAAAAAAAAAAGAAAATTAGAATTTTTTTTGGTGAAAGTGAATAGCCCAAAAGAATACATCCCCAGGTACTAAGCTTTTATAATTCACTCATAAAATACCTAAGCATCTGCCCATAATAAAACAATTAACAAACTCTGTTTACATCCAAAGAACTGTTCTAGTACATCACCCTTAAATGTGAGCTATCAATGAACATTTGAAAAAAGCTTATAAGAGGAAAAGATTACTATAAAAACGTGAGATTACTTGGTATTTCTCAAACTGCCTGGTAGTTATATGGGGTTCAGTTATTCTTTAATTTATATATAGATAATACACAAACTTATATGTATCCATTATTCATTTGACATTGAAACACATGTTTAAAAAGAGTTTGATGGGCTGGGTGTGGTGGCTCACGCCCGTAATACCAGCACTTTGGGAGGCCGAGGCAGGGGCATTATTTGAACTCAGGAGTTTGTGACCAGCCTGAGCAACACGGTAAAACCCAGTCTCTAATAAGATACAAAAAATTAGCGGGGAATGGTGGTGTGCGCCTGTAGTTCCAGCTACTCGGGAGGCTGAGGCAGGAGAATCGCTTGTACCCAGGAGGCGGAGGTTGTAGTGAGCCGAGAGCCGAGATCATGCCACTGCACTCCAGCCTGGGCAACAGAGCGAGACTCTGTCTCAACAACAACAACAAAAAAGTTCGATGGTAGTATAGAGAGGAAGGCCAGCATCAACGCACCCTGTTTTCTGTATTAGTAAAACAGTCTTTCATCTCTACACTTACTAGGTGGTGAGGCTATAGGAGGGAATAAATAGCTTTTGCTGCTTCTGTGCTGGAGGCAGGTGAGGGAGAAGAGAGTTATGACTGGTGTTTCCTGAGCAAAATGACAGTGTTTGCCACAAGGGCTCATATGGATTCCTAACTTAACTTGCAGCCCAAGTTATGGAGTCTGCAACCAAGTGAACCAGACTGCTTAAAAGCTCCTGAATCCTCACAAATTTGATTCCAAACATTCCTCGCTAATCGTGTTCCCTTTGCTTAGAATATCCCTCACTGCTTTCTCTACCTATAGAAATTGTACTCAATGCTCAAGACCCAGAAACTGTCAAAGAGAAACTTCCACATTAACACCTCACCTCCTCCATGAACACTTCCCAATCTTACTCATTACTCTTGGTTAGAATTTCTCTCTTCTTTCTTTAAGATATTACTGAGTTTTTTAAAGTGGCTTTTAAAATGTTTTATGTTCTGATATGTATTAAGGTGATTTGTCTGTATTTATTATCATTCTCACTAGACTGCAAGCTCTGTAAAGTTGGTCTTTTTTTCTGCTTATCTCTTCCAAATCACATTACGAAGTGCTTGGCACATAGCAAATGCTCTTTTTTGTTTTTCTCAAAAAAAATTGTTCAATTGGATGCATCTTAACCAGAAACTTGATTTATATTTAAAAACACTTCTTTGGGAAGAAATGAAAAAATATAGGTATATATTTGTCATTTGTAAGGCTTCTATGAATGCTTAGGTTAAATTTATCCACTTAGGTACTCTTATTTAATTTTCTTCCTTAAAAAAATGTGAGTAGTAGACACTTATCCTTGCATAATTTCAAGCACTTCAGTTACTGAAACTATGAGTGGATGATTTACAAAAGGAAACACCAATTTGATTCATCTTTTTTTGCTCAGTCTCGAGGTTGACTGTGCTTTTCAGGTAGATGGCCTGTTGAACAGGGTTTTAGAGTTCCCCACTGACACAGAAGTCAGAGACATTCTGTAGTGACTGCATCTGTAGATGATAAATAATGCCAGAATCCACGCTGACTTTATATGTCTTTTTTGAACACAGACTAACCTTTAAAGCTATAAGTTACAATTTCCCACTGTCTAGTTAGCTGCCAACAACAGGATGGGTCCCCTGTGTTCAGCTGAACTAACCGAAATTCTAAAGTTCAAAAAAAAGAGATGGAGTTTCTTGCTTTAATATTGTCTTCTACTTTTCCCTTTCATTTTTTAAAATCTTATAGTTACATCTTGGAGTTCCGTGGCTTGTTACGCATTGCTGAACATTCAATGCCCAGGGTAAGGTAAACACAATCCTTTATAATCCTTCCCCAATCCCTTTTGATTAAATATGTTCCACGACTCTGTCTAAGTGAGTGCAAAGGGGCCAGTAAAGCTGCTTCAGCTTAATTGTTGTTGGCATTCTTTTTCACTTGGGGCCTTAATGGGAAGCTTCTCTTTGACATTTTTTTTTTAGCAGTAAAACTGCCGTGAATTCCCATATACTTTGTAGGAATGTTTCCATTAGTTTGAGAGTCTATATTTTCCCCTCTAAAGTAACTGCCTAAAAACAAAATGAAAATCAGTGTTAGGAATTCTTGATGAGAATCACAGGGCACCAGATGCCATCGTTATAATTTTTAAATGTTCCAGGATACTTCTGAGAATAAAAGAAGTAATATGTGTTTAAGTATTTTAAGGATACATAGAATGTATTTATATGCATGTATATTAGATACAGCAAAATTTTAATATTAAAATTTTATTGAAATTAGATTTATACTATATAGACATATATGACCTAAAATTTTCATTTGTTTAAATAATTTGTTGGTTTGTAATAGAAATTACTTCTTTATTTGATAATTTAAAAAAATTTTAGCAAAATGGGTAAAGGACTTCAGTCAAACGTGTCACTCTACAAAAATAAGAAAATATTCAAGTGGCATGAATCAGTATTAAACAAAGTACATACTTATTCTAACTCAAGTTTGTGTTAGACTCAGTCAATCCAAAAAGTATCAGAAGGCCAGAACTTTCTAGATAATCGAAAATGTATTAAGGTGTCACTTTAGTCTACTTAACTATAAATTGTACTAACTATGGAAGTCTGTAAAACGATTTAGCTTTTCTTTTTAACATTTTGCTTACAATTCTTCCATACTGTATATATGAATGCTTTTGAAAATTTTAGCACCTGTTCTATTTAAAAGTTTAGTTTAGCTCCTAAAGTATCTTCTTATCCATTAACATAATCAAAGTGTTAGCTGAATACAATTTTGCCTAGAACAATGATTCAAAGGCCTACTGAATTTTTAAAGGGCTGCTTATACTGACACCTTCTAATTAGAAGCTTCTTTTATCAGAATACTAAGCAAAGTTGATGTCCTCAAGTTTTTTTTCCTTACATACCTAGTTACCTACAAAAAGTTACAATACTCACTTATTGTAAACCTAAATTTCTAGTTCTATTTAGAAATATTTCTTTAAGAGGGGTTTATGATTAGCTTCTAAAGTATATTTTTAAAAACAATTATTTATATAAATTAAAAAACATGACATATTATAACCAGTCTATGAAAATACCATTAGAGATGTTTTCTTACCCAAATTGCTATGGTTCCACTCTTATTTGTCCATGTGAACTCTAACTTTCCGAATCGCTCCTTAGCAACAGCTTCTCAGTCCGTTGCTCAGCTGGTAGCCCTGTTACCCAGGCAGAGCCTTTTGTTTCTGTTCTTTCCTCATATCATAATATGTTACTAAGTTTTTGCTGAAATTCAGCCAAGCCCTTTCACCCTACAAGCCAGAAGCCCTCCAATGTTTAGCAATGGAATTTTTAATGACTTTTCTAAATACCGCTCTGGAGGTCAAAGTCATTTCCAAAGCCAGAGAAGTTCTTCTGGTTTTTGCCACCTCATAGAACATAAATCCTCTTCTATTCCCACCTTCCAGGGAACAGAACTCCCAGACGATGGGCCAGCTTCCTTTTTAAATTTTCAATGAAAAAAGGGGATGTAGTTTTTTCTGTTTGTTTGCCTTTTTTCTTTTTCTTTTTTTTTTTTTGGTGACAACATCCATTTTAGGAAGTTTCTAAAACTATTAATATTGCAAAGAGGCCTGTAAAATTCAAAGGCAACTGATGATATTTTTTGAGATGAGGAAAGAGACAGTTGCTTTCATTAAAGCTTTGACCTTGATATTTAATTCTTCATAATATCAGACTAACTAGGAGAAGTCAATATTAGAAAATGACATTAGACCTACTGGAATGTGTTCAAATAGTGGTGTAATGTAGACACTTACTTTCACAGAAAATGATTTATCCTAGCACTTTCAATAATGACCGTCAAATTATGTATTTTATCTTTGAATGGTAATGTAATACGAAGACATTTTTGTTATTGCAAGTAATATTAAAATGTGAAAGGTCTTCATGACAAAGTCAACTTAATTCTGCAGAATGAGTAAATAGACAAACATAATTTTTTGAATTATGAAGGTAAAATTGAAATTACAAGTAAATATGGATTCCATATCTTAGAGCCATCAGTAATTATCTAAGATATAATTAGGGAGAAAAAGGGTTATTTTGGTGTTTCGTGATTCTGTTGATTTTGGAATTTGCAGTTATACTAAATACTAAAGAGACACAATAAATAAGTGTATCCCATTTGTCATGTCTCTTTAATATTCTTTAATTTGGAACAGGCAAGCTCTTCTTTAGAATATTTTATAATTTGGATGTTTCTGATGTTTCTCATGATTTAATTCAGCTTATTTTGTTTTGGGGAGAAATCTCACAAATGTGATGTCAAGTCTTTGTCAGTGCATTGTATCAGAAGGCATATGCTATTGAGTTGTCCTATTACTGTTTATGTTAATTTTGATGGCTTAGTTAAGGTGGTATCTGTTGGGTTTGGAAAGCTTCTTTCAAGTCTTATTTTACTGTACAAACTTGAGGTTTACATGTACCTTGTCACCAGATTTTAAGAGTTGACCATTTTAAATGGCTTCAGTGGTGAAATATAAACAGATGAAAATTTATGGTTTTAAAATCGAATTATAATTTAAGAGAAAAGAACCATAAAAATACGAGTCTCAATCATTAGGTAGTCAGCTCCCCCAAATTGGGGATTCTTTCCTATCGTGCAGGGATCAAACTGGTTGTTTGCTATTCCAGGTACAAGCTCACTTTATTGAATATGTTCTTAATCATCTTGTCCAATATCTACCTGGAAGTCTAATAATTACAGCGACTACACAAACAGTACAATCATGAATGTAACAAAAAACGTAGTGTTTGTCTCTCATTTGATTTTTAATTTTCTTCTCTTCTTTTATGTTTATTTTGTGGGGGTAGGTAGTCTATGTCTATCTAGTCTCTGGATAAAAACTTGAGTGGGTCTCAGATTTTCTTTGGTTACTGTTAAGCAATAAAAAATGTCTATGATTCTTTTAATTCAAGAAAACAGTTTTATTTCAGTAACCAAATGTCTGGTACTTTGTAGTAAACACCATGAACAGGGGTTAAAATAAGTCTTTTCTCTTCTCAGGGTTTTCATAATGAGTTGTTGAAGTCAAGAAAAGGATAGATTTTTTTTTGCTCACTCAGCAGTTTTACTTCCTATCTTCCATATTGCTAGATGAAATTTCTAAATTTACTAAGCTTATATCAAATAGAGGTTGAAGCAGGGTTTGAGTAGGTAGAGGGAGATAAGCAGAGCAGGAAAGTGTTTACTCAAGGGTGATTTTGGTAGTGATCTAGCATCAATGCACTTGGTTCATGGTAGATATTTATAGTTCATTATATCAGTCATGGATGTCTTCATGAATTCTTTGGAAACATCCACTATGAAGATTCTCCATTAGTGCCTTATTTGAGTCATGATTATTTTAAATTATCTGTTCACTTTTTTCCCTAACATTTGTGTTATATCTGAGTCTGGTTCTGTCCCTTGGCAGTGTCTTGTTCCTCTTGCTTTTTTGTATGCCTTGTAAACTTTCTGTTTTCTTTTTTTGAAAGCCAGAAATTGTAGGATTGTAGAAACTAAAATAAATGGTCTTAATTTCTAAAGTTGTATGCATTTTCTTCTGATAGGTCTTTAATTTGGGTGTTTGAGTTCATCTATCCAGGGATTGCTGTATTGTTAGTGCCCCAGCCACCTCCCATACACAAATGTTAACTATTTATGGAGAAAGATAGCATAATCCTAGACTTTCAATTATTTTCACTATTTTTCAGATACAATACTCTGACCATGAAAAACAATCAAGTGAAGCCTAGGACAACTTGAGCAACCAAAAGAAGTAATAATATCTGCTATGGTTTAAATGTGTTCTCCAAATTTCATGTGTTGGAAACTCAATACCCAAGTATATATCCTGATAGCATTTGGAGGTAGAGTATTTAAAGGTAATTAGGATGATAAAGTCATCCAGATGGGGAACCCATGATGAGGTTGATTGCTTTGTTCAGGAACAGAGACCTGAGCTGGCACACATTTGCCCTTTTGCCATGTGATGCTTCTGCCATGTTATGATGCTGCAAGAAAAGCCTCACCAGATGTGATCTCTCTACTTTGGACTTCCCAGCCTCCAGAACTGTAAAACATAAATTGATTTTCTTTATAAATTGTTCAGTCTGTGGTACTCTGTTATAGCAACAGAAAATGGACTAAGAAAATATCCAAAAAAACATCTCCAGAAAGACTCTAGATAGTAGAATTATCAGACACAGGCTTAAAAATAATTATATTTGCCTGCTTACAGTTATAAAAGACAATTTTAACAGAGGATTGAAAAGAAAAACAAAAAGGACAAAACATTTTTGAAATGATAATATATTAATTATAAAGCTAAACAAATTTATAATTACTATAATATAGTAATTACAAACGTAAAAAAATACATAATCAAAAGTAAAACTCCATAAAACACACCTGTAGCAATGATCATGTGCAGTACCAGGATACTGGCTTCTAATATTTTTCTCCAATACAAGGAACCAGGGAACCTCAGAGAAGTGGCTAATTGTAGGGATGGTACAGGAAATATACAAAATGAGCCTGGATCATCTTGTAGTGCCAGAATATAAGAAGACAGAAAATCAACCAAACAGAAGGATGAGTATATTCAAAGGACACAGGAGCCAAATAAAAGAGGTCCCAGTGGCAAAACTGGAACAATTTGAGCTACAAGATAAATAAAATGGTATTGGATTAAAGCCCAAAGTATTAAATAAATATTTCTAATTCCATACCAATATAAAGGTATGATTGAATAGATAAATCAATGGGGAATAAGAGAGAAATCTTTCATGAAGAAGAATTTGGAATAATTTACTTAAATATTCTGCCCTAAAGGAAGTGGAGACTAATTCTTCAGTCTTTCAGTGTAGCCTGCACAGAGTGACTTCCTTTCCAAAAAGGAAAGGGGGTAAAGAGCCCTGACAAATACTACTTCAGCCAGGCGGCGTTCAAGGTCAACATGAGAAGTTATAAAGCATGTTAATAATATGGACCCTTGATATGATGAAATGAAAATAGTACTTTACCTGCGTGATCTAATAAGCCCTGTCTAAATATGAAATAAAATCCAAACATCAAATACATTCCACAGGGGCATCCTACAATATATTTGACTTCTCAAAACTGTCAAGGTCATCCAAAAGAAGAAACACTTGAGAAAATGTCACAGGCAAAGTAACTTAAGGATATATGAAAGTTAAATGTAATATGTTTTCCTGGATAGTATCCTGGAAAAGAAAAGGGTGTTAGATAAAATCTTAGAAAATCTGAATAAACAATGAATGATAGTTAATAGTACGGTATCAATATTGGTTTATTAATTGTAACAAATGTACCATGTTAATATGTGGTGTTAATAAAATAGGAACTGTAAATCTAAAACTGTTTTTTAAATTAAAATCTGTTAACAATGTATTTTTTTTTTTTTTTTTTTTTTTTTGAGACAGAGTCTCGCTCTGTTTCCCAGGCTGGAGTGCAGTGGCGCAGTCGGCTCACTGCAAGCTCCGCCTCCCGGGTTCACACCATTCTCCTGCCTCAGCCTCCCCAGCAGCTAGGACTACAGGTGCACGCCGCCACACCCTGTTAATTTTTGTATTTTTAGTAGAGATGGGGTTTCACTGTGTTAGCCAGGATGGTCTCGATCTCCTGTCCTTGTGATCTGCCCGCCTCAGCCTCCCAAAGTGCTAGAATTACAGGTGTGAGCCACCGTGCCCGGCCTGTTAACAATATTTTTAAACCTCAATAGATAGATCAGCAGATTTAATGTAGCTGAAAGAGAATATATAAACTGGAAGACAGAGCTGATGAAAATATGCAGAATAAAGCATAGATTGACAAAGGGGTGGAAAATACAGAGGAGAAGGTGAGAAACACAGAGGATGGAGAGAAATATCTGAACTTAAATGAAATTAGGTTTCTAGGAGAAAAGCAGAAAAAGAAAAGGAATATAAGCAATGAATGATGAGAAATAATTAAGATTTTTCAGGACTGATATTAAGACACAGATTTGTTCTCTATTAACCCAAATCAATTTAAATATAAAGAAGGCTATACAACAAAAATTACCATGAAATTGCTGAAGAACAAAAACAAAGTGAAAATATTAGCAGTCAGAAAGGAGTACAATGCATATACCATTTGGAAAGGAGTGACAAACTGAGCAGAATTCTCAGAGGAAATAACAGAAACCAGAAGACAATGTATTGATATTTTCTATGTGTTAAAAAATTAACTACAAACCTATAAGTCTATATCTAATAATAAGTATCCTTTTAAGAATAAAAGTAAAATACAGATTTTTAAAGGACTTTTTAGTCCTTTAAAAGAAAACTGGCACCATCAGCTTCTCTTAAAGGGAAATACAAAAATGTATTTCTGGCATATATTGAAATCATGGAGGATGAGAGGCAGGACTAGACTGAAGCTCTGACTCGGCATTGGAACAGCGTGTGGAGGCTCACATCATGAATTTATGCTCCAGAACAACTGCAGGAATAAATCAGGTAACTTCAGAGGACCTACAGACCCCATGAAGGAGCCAGATTGCTCCTGCAGGACCCAGGAGACAACCCGAATACAGTGAGTATCCAAACGTAGAAGTGGGAAATGGAGATCGTCCACCCACAAATACTCACCCCCACTGGGGAAACCAAAGGCTTAGACTATGGGAGAAGATTTTGACCTTACCTGAAGCTGAGTCAATTTAGAGAACTGAACAAAATACAGGGGTAGAGGAAGTAGTGGGAAAAGCCCTGGGACTTCACTGGGTCCCCTAGTAAGCTGTTTATGCTTGGCCTCACAGGGATCCTCCAGGATGGGGACAGAGGTGCTGGGAAAAGGCCACAGGGAGAAGGAAACCTCAGCTGAACTTTGCAACAATTTGAACTGATCAAGAAGTCTCCTGGCCAGAACTTGGGGGAGGGCATGAATCCAATGTAGAGACTCCACAGGCTGAGGTAGAAGGAAAGCCATATTTGCTTTTGCAGCTGGGAGGCAGGTAGCCTGGGGCAAGTTCTCAGTCCTGCTCACCCACTGCCTGGGAACAGTCTTGGTGCTGTTGGGAGTGGGCATGGTGGGAGATAGACTTGCCCTTTGGATTGCGTGGGAGCTGGGTAAGGCCTGTGACTGCTGGCTTTCCCCCATTTCCCTGACAATCTGTGTGATGCAGTAAAGACAGTCATAATCATCCTAGGAACATAACTCCATTGACCCAGGAACCTCATCCCTCTCCGCTATAGCAGCTGCAGCAAGACCCGCCCAAGGAGAGTCTGAGTTCAGACATGCCTAGCCCTGCCCCCACCCAATGGTCCTTCCCTACCCACCCTGGTAACTGAAGACAAAGGGCATACACTCTTGGGAGTTCTAGGCCCTGCCCACCGGCTGTTCCTCCCTGTACTACAACAGCTGATGCTTTCTGGAAAGTGCCACTTCCTGGCAGGAGGCCAACCAGCACCAAAATATTGCATTAAAACCACCAAAGCTAAGAACCTTCACAGAGTATATTTCCTTCCCCTGCAACTTCCACTGGAACAAATGCTGGTATCCATGGCTGAGAGACCCACAGATGGTTCACATCACAGGACTCTGTACAGCCAATCCCCAGTACTAGCCTGGAGCCTGGTAGATTTGCTGGGTGGCTAGATCTGGAAGAGAGATAATAATCACTTCAGGTGAGACGCAGTGGCTCATGCCTGTAATCCTAGCACTTTGGAATGCCTAGGCAGGCAGATCACGAGGTCAGGAGTTCGAGACCAACCTGGCCAATATGGTGAAACCCCATCTAAAAATACAAAAAAATTAGCCAAGTGTGGTGGTGCTCACCTGTAATCTCAGCTACTTAGGAGACTGAGGCAAAAGAATTGCTTGAACCTGAGAGGCAGAGATTGCACCACTGCACTCCAGGCTGGGTGACAGAGTGAGACTCCATCTCAAAAAATAATAATAAATAAATAAAATAATAAATAAATAATCACTTCAGCTCAGCTCTCAGGAAGCCACATCCATAGGAAAAGGGGGAGAGCACTACATCAAAGGAATACCCTGTGAGACAAAAGAATAATAGCCTTCAGCCCTAGACCTTCCCTCTTATAGCCTACCCAAATGAAAAGGAACCAGGAAACCAACTCTGGTAATATGATAAACAAGGTTCTTTAACAACCCCAAAAAATCACACTAGCTCATCAGCAATAGACCCAAACCAAGGAGAAATCCCTGATTTACCTGAAAAAGAAATCAGGAGGTTAGTTATTAAGCTAATCAGGGACACACCAGATAAAGGCAAAGTTCAATGTAAGGAAATAAAAAACATGACACAAGAAGTGAAGAGAGAAATATCCAAAAAAAATAGCATAAATAAAAAACAATCATAACTTCAGGAAACAATGGACACACTTATAGAAATGCAAAATGCTCTGGAAAGTCTCAGAAATAGAACTGAACAAGGAGAAGAAAGAAATTCAGAGCTCAAAGACAAGTTCCTTGAATTAACCTAATCCAACAAAGACAAAGAAAAAAAATAAGAAAATATGAACAAAGCCTCCAAGAAGTCTAGGATTATGTTAAATGACAAAACCTAAGAATAATTGATGTTTCTGAGGAAGAAGAAAAATCTAAAAGTTTGGAAAACATATTTGGAGGGATGATTGAGGAAAACTTTCCCAGCCATGCTAGAGACCTAGACATCCAAATACAAGAAGCACAAAGACAACCTGGGAAATTTATCACAAAAAAAAAAACATTGCCTAGGTACAGCATCATCAGGTTATCTAAATTTAAGATGAAGGTAAGAATTTTAAGAGCTGTGAGACAAAAGCACCAGCTAGCCTATAAAGGAAAAACCTATCAGATTAACTGAAGTTTTCTCAGAAGAAACCATACACGCTAGAAGGGATGGGGGTCTTATCTTCAGCCTCCTCAAACAAAACAATTATCAGCCAATAATTTTGTATCCAGTGAAACTAAGCCTCATATATAAAGGAAAGATAGAGTATTTTTCAGACAAGCGAATGCTGAGAGAATTTGCCACTACCAAACTACCACTATAAGAACTGCTAAAAGGAGCTCTAAATCTTGAAACAAATCCTGGA